>NC_000001.11:211517920-211669435 GCF_000001405.40 Homo sapiens | reverse complement strand
TTTTGTCTTGGAAACACATTTTTGTCCTTTTATTTTAACTGCTGTCTTAGGAGGACTATTCTGTTATGCAATCTGACTATAATACTGAGTATTTTTTCCCCAGGATTACCATCGACCTTCTGTTGAAGAAATTCTTGAGAACCCTTTAATAGCAGATTTGGTTGCAGACGAGCAAAGAAGAAATCTTGAGAGAAGAGGGCGACAATTAGGAGAGCCAGAAAAATCGCAGGATTCCAGCCCTGTATTGAGTGAGCTGAAACTGAAGGAAATTCAGTTACAGGAGCGAGAGCGAGCTCTCAAAGCAAGAGAAGAAAGATTGGAGCGTAAGTCTGAATGGGGGTCAAAGCAAAGGAGAACTACCAAGTGGGTTATTTTGATGTGTCTGAATATCTCTTTGAGCAGAATATTTTATACATACAGATCTTATTAGAAGCTTTTGAAAAATACTTGAGAAACCAAAATATGTATTTTAGACTTTTTAATAATCAGGCTTGCTGGCACCTTCATGTTGGACATCTTTCTCTGAGATCAGTTGCTAGTTATATATTATTGGGCCTTAACTGTGATGGCCCTAATACGATAGCCTTGTATTTTACTCTAGAGTTACTTTTTTCTTTTTCGTCTCTACTGTGAATACCCTAATGTTTTCCCACTGTAAAGGAAGGTCTTAAAATTGCTGCTTTCCATAATAAAAAACCATGACTTTTGTCTTTTGAAATGGCCACTCCAACAGAATTCCAGGTCTAAAACCCTACAGTATGTAGATGAGATATGTTCAGGCAATTCTTTTCTTTTTTTTTAACTTTTTATTTTTGAAAATGAGATGGGGTCTCACTATATTACCCAGGCTGGTCTTGAACTCCTGAGCTCAAGTGATCCTCCCATCTTACCTCCCAAAGTGCTGGGATTATAGGTGTGACCTACCACACCTGGTCTGTTCAGGCAGTTCAATAGAGAATCTAGATACAAGATATTTTAAGTCTATAAATAATACTCTGGTGGGTATTAACATTGACTTATGAGTATTAACTGATTAGATGCTAATTTAGTTTTGATATTGAAAGTGTGTCTACTCCACCAAGATGAGAGCTACTCGCAAGCATTTAGGGTTATGCAAGGTAGCTACAGAGTGAGGTTCTTCATTTTAACATCAGGAGACGAGAGATGGGGTCGTATTTGTGACCTGTCACCCTCATGACTCACCTGATTTTACTTCTGCAGCTTTATGCCCAATCCAGGCTTTAAATAATGAAATATTGTATAGTCCTGTGAGATATGCTTACTGTATAGGTACAACCTATACTTACTTGGAAACCTCTGTAAAAAATAAGAAAGCTTTTTCTTATAACTTTCCCCAGTGTTTCATAATTTCTTTTCTTTTTTTTTTTTGAGATGGAATTTCACTCTTGTTGCCCAGGCTGAAGTGCAGTGGCACCATCTTGGTTCATTGCAACCTCTACCTCCCGGGTTCAAGCAATTCTCCTGCCTCAGCCTCCTGAGTAGCTGGGATTACAGGCGCCTGCCACCATGCCTGGCTAATTTTTGATTTTTTAGTAGAGATGGGGTTTTGCCATGTTGACCTGGCTGGTCTTGAACTCCTGACATCAGGTGATCCACCTGCCTCGGCCTCCCAAAGTGTTGGGATTACAGGCGTGAGCCACTGTGACCAGCCATAATTTCATATAGCAACTGAAATCTGAATACTTTCTGAATTTGGGGCCATGAATAAATAGTAACATTTGTTATTAATACTAATCCTATGAACTACCACCTAACTGAATTGTGTTTTTTTTCTTTTGTTTGGGTGTGGTCATTCAACCAGAAGAAGGAGATTTTTGTACTGTGAGGCCAGATCATGCCCTGAAAATTAGCTGTTGCTTATCTTCAGTGAAGAGCAGAGATAGCTTTAGTTTTTTGTTTTCCCAAATGAGTTACTCCCACAAAAGATGACCAAAGGTTGAAGCTAACTTTGTATTTGTTTAAACAAGTCCTTTCAAGAAAATCTAAGATAACATACAGCCTACTAAAACACTCAATTAAAAACTAACATAATCAGGTTGACTGAGGCATAGTGAGAATCCTTTCCCCAAACATTGCTTATCAGTATCAGGCATGCTAGTAGTGATAAGATTGCCAAATGTAAATTGTTTTTTAGTCAAGGTCAGTTGTTAATTTTTTTTTCTTTGTCCATTCTCTTTTTAAAGAGAAAGAACAGGAGCTTTGTGTTCGTGAGAGACTAGCAGAGGACAAACTGGCTAGAGCAGAAAATCTGTTGAAGAACTACAGCTTGCTAAAGGAACGGAAGTTCCTGTCTCTGGCAAGTAATCCAGGTATGAGAATCAACTTGGTCAACAGAAGCTGGTGCTACAAATGAAGAAATGTGCACCAGTGTTGCTCCCAAAGTGGCTTAGGTAGCCCTTTTCATTTACAAATCTCAAATTTTAAGATGGATTTCATTGAATATATGCATTTCAATGGAAACAAAATTCTGTTATAGCAATGATTTATTTCCTGGGTTCATAGACCTGAGGCAATGAGTCATAGAATTTCATGTTTGATTTTCTTTACCTTATCAAACTACATGTTTAGTAATTGATACTTATTTTTATTATCATTATTTATTTTTTTATTTTTTTTGAGATGGAGTCTCACTCTGTAGCCCAGGCTGGAGTGCAGTGGCACAATCTCGGCTCACTGCAAGCTCTGCCTCCCGGGTTCACGCCATTCTTCTGCCTCAGCCTCCCAAGTAGCTGGGACTACAGACACCCGCCACCAAGCCCGGCTAATTTTTGTATTTTTAGTAGAGACGGGGTTTCACCGTGTTAGCCAGGATGGTCTCGATTTCCTGACCTCGTGATCCGCCTGCCTCGGCCTCCCAATGTGCTGGGATTACAGGCATGAGACACCGTGCCCAGCCGATACTTATTTTTAAAAATTAGGGCATTTACAAAACTATTGTATGTTTCAGATTTCAGAGAGATAAACTGCATTTCAAGTAAAAATAAACATTTTAATATTGCCATGCCTCATTTTTCATAGAAAGCATGGCTTAAAAGGCATGATAAGCCACCTGCAGAATAGGCTGTCACGTTTGGATCTTTGCTAACACCCTTTCAAGTTGAAAGACATATTTGTTGAAATTTGATTGTTTAATATCTACATATGTTCTCTGCATTTCCTTCTTTATTTAAAGTCTGGTATATAGATATTCAGCTTTCTCAGGGCCCTGCCTTTGTGTGGCATTGTCCCTTCACTCTGCCGCACTGAGATGTGGTTATCGTATATACCAGTGAACCATTGTCTAACATTCTCCATTTTATAGAAACCCTCAATCTAATTTAATCGACTCTTTAAGATTATGTAAAATGCAAACTGTGAAACATCTTTTTGCTTGATTTATGACACAAACTAACTGTTAAAAGTTGTTGGTTTCAAAAATCGAGCATCTGAATTTTCAATAAAATTTAGAGTTTTTATAACTCCCTTATTCCATGTAGGACAGCATATATGAAAGCTATTATTCCCATCTTTAATAAATTGAGATGTAGTGTGATCAATTTAGTGAGCATTGGCAGCATTTTGTAAATGGAACAGACAAAAAACCCTACTTAAGTTAGATTGATGATCACAATAACTTTGTAGTGAATAAGTGATGGAAAGAAATGAAACTACTGATAGAAGTAAATGAAACAAGGATTATATGAAACTTTGGCTTCATCTCTGTTAAAATACCTTCTTTTTTCCCAATATTGCAGTCTACCATTTCAATATTATAAAAATATTTATTCTGGCTTTTCATAGATTCCACACTGTCATCCATAAAGACAAAATAGACTTAAATCATGATTAGGGTGATAAAATGAGGAGAAAATTTTACCTGGATGAATTTCATGCATCAAACCCATTGCAGAGAATTACTTAAGACCCTGTTGGGGATGGCTGTTCGGTTAAAGAGTTTATTTACATTTGCCCTGATAGTCTTTGAGCAAAAGATGAAAATAGCTAAGTAAGGATGATGTGTTTTACTTTATAGGATACACAGATAAGTATGGGAATCTACTTATATGTGAATCATGGCAAATATTTAAAATGAGCCATAGGAATCAAGTATCCACTGGGGCAAGCAGACATTTTAGGGTATTGAGTGCTGAAAGTAGTGAACACATCAGAGCTATAAGATAAGCATCATAGCAGTGGGGAGCGGGTACCATTCTGAACTCAGGACAGTTGGAAATATTCTCTCCCCATCCTTGGGCTATAAAATCCACACGTGAGGAAGCCATCACAAGTATATTGAAATCATCACAGCAAGCAGCAGTGTCTTTTTTAAAAGCTGTTCTTTTCGTATTTGATGAAATATTCATTCTTCTATTTAATGGAAGAATTTTAAAAATGTTTTTAAAACACTTTCTTTCTTATAAAACTGTCCCATTAAGAGCCAAGTGTGGTGACGCACCTATAGTCCCAGCTACTCTGGGGCTCAGGCAGGAAGATCACTTAAGCCGAGGCGTCCAAGGCTGTAGTGCACTACAGCTGCACCTGTGACTAGCCACTGCACTCCAGCCTGGAAAACATGGCAAGACCCCATCTCAGACAAAAACAAAAACAAAATAAAACTATCCCATTAGTAAGACAATGTTGACTTACAAATGTAAAGGTATTTGTGGTAATAAGAAGGTGGATAGAGTTGAAACAGTGGAGATAAGGTCTAAAAGCAATCCAGTTTGCTTTGAAGCAGAAGCGACGTATGAAGCGGGAAGTCACAGGACCCTTGGAAGGCAGTGCATCTGTGTGCCAGCCTTTCCTATTTCTTCTGCCTGGAGCACTCTTCATCCAGACAGCCCTGTGGCTTCTTACTTCAGAAATGCTGTATGAGGCTTTGTATCATTACACCCAGCACCCAGCACCCAGCATGTCCCTGTTTCCAGAGCTATTTTTCCTAATAGCACGTATTACCATCAAATATTCCCCACCAGTACTTGTTTGTTTGTGTTTGGTTTATCTCCTCCTACTAGAATAGGGCCTTTGTTTGGTTCACAGTGGCCCATCCTATGAGCTCAGTAAATATTCGAACATATTTCCTTTAACACAAAAAATAAAAGGATTCTAGAATCTGTAAGCCTCCAGCCCCCAGTAATTCTGTCAGCAGTTAATAGTGTTGCCACTTTAAGTAAATATGATTATTATTTATTTTTTCCATGTAAAGAATAGTTTACAGTTTTTACTACTCTTACTTGATTTACCTTTTCCACACTGAATTTGTTTAGATTTTTTGGAAACAGATTTCTCGTCCATTAAGATGCTTTGAACTAAGTGTTCTTGAACATTTAACCAAAACTGTAGGTGTTCTCTATTTAAAAAAAAAAAAAAAAACAAAGACAGAAAAAAACCTCTGCTTCTACACTTTTCTGTAGGTAAGGTGTTCTGCATAGAATGGCACTTATTTTCAAGGACAGAGATAAATAACATTGATTTCCAAAAGTTTTATGTTGTCCATAATACTCAGTGTGTTTAAGAGTAAAATTGATTGTTGGTTGTTAAGAGAATAAAACTTATGTTCCTTGAATTTTGGCACATTCCAATATTATTTTTTCAATGCTGTGGATTAAAAGGCTGATTTCTGCAAGTCCTACACCCCTAACCTCCTATCCCAGAGAAAATAAAACAGGCACCTAGATTTCAAATGTGAGCCATAAGAGCAAATACTTTTTGATAAGTATAAGTATGAAGGAGTTGAACTCTGTTCAAGTAACTCAGAGCCCTTTTTCTTTTTCCTTCTAAAGAACTTCTTAATCTTCCATCCTCAGTAATTAAGAAGAAAGTTCATTTCAGTGGGGAAAGTAAAGAGAACATCATGAGGAGTGAGAATTCTGAGAGTCAGCTCACATCTAAGTCCAAGTGCAAGGACCTGAAGAAAAGGCTTCACGCTGCCCAGCTGCGGGCTCAAGCCCTGTCAGATATTGAGAAAAATTACCAACTGAAAAGCAGACAGATCCTGGGCATGCGCTAGCCAGGTAGAGAGACACAGAGCTGTGTACAGGATGTAATATTACCAACCTTTAAAGACTGATATTCAAATGCTGTAGTGTTGAATACTTGGTTCCATGAGCCATGCCTTTCTGTATAGTACACATGATATTTCGGAATTGGTTTTACTGTTCTTCAGCAACTATTGTACAAAATGTTCACATTTAATTTTTCTTTCTTCTTTTAAGAACATATTATAAAAAGAATACTTTCTTGGTTGGGCTTTTAATCCTGTGTGTGATTACTAGTAGGAACATGAGATGTGACATTCTAAATCTTGGGAGAAAAAATAATGTTAGGAAAAAAATATTTATGCAGGAAGAGTAGCACTCACTGAATAGTTTTAAATGACTGAGTGGTATGCTTACAATTGTCATGTCTAGATTTAAATTTTAAGTCTGAGATTTTAAATGTTTTTGAGCTTAGAAAACCCAGTTAGATGCAATTTGGTCATTAATACCATGACATCTTGCTTATAAATATTCCATTGCTCTGTAGTTCAAATCTGTTAGCTTTGTGAAAATTCATCACTGTGATGTTTGTATTCTTTTTTTTTTTCTGTTTAACAGAATATGAGCTGTCTGTCATTTACCTACTTCTTTCCCACTAAATAAAAGAATTCTTCAGTTTCCCTGTAGTTATGTGTCTTGCATTTGTTGGTCTCTTAGTTGATGGGAGTTGTGTTTATGATTTGTAGGTCTTCATTGTAGGGTACAGAAGGAAACATGGATCTGATGCTCAAGGGAGTGGCATTCCAGTCCTAAACTGTATGGCGCTTTACCTCCCATCTCATTAATCCATGTATGTAAGCCAGTGGTCCTTAACAGGGTGATTTTGCTCCTCAAGAGACGTTTGGCAATGTCTGGGGGCATTTTTGATTGTCATGATTTGGGGTAGGGTGCTACTGGCTGCTAGTGGGTACAGGCCAGGGACACTGTAAACATTTTACAATGCACAGGACAGCTGCTGACAACAAAATGTCCATGGGTTTGGATCATAATCCTGAATGATACAATCTCAAATGCGAAAATCCTGAAAGACCAAAATCCCTAATGTCTTAAATCCCAAAAGATCAGAATCCCTAATGTGTGAACTTCCAAAATCACAATCCTGAAAGATTAAAATCCCAGATGTTAAAATCCTGAAAGCCGAATTTGAGGTTAGGGATTAGTGCCGTTTCAGCTGTATACAGGATAATTGCATCATGTTAGGCAGAACTATTACCTTGTTATTGTCTTCATTTGGAAATTAAGTATGGTTTAAGAGATGTGGATGGATATCGAGTTGATAAGGGGTGAACTTGTTGATTTATGTGTCAACTTGACTGGATTAAGGAATCCCTAGAAATCTGGTAAAGCATTATTTTAGATGTGTCTGTGAGGGTGTTTCCAGAGGAGGTTAATATGTGAGTCTCAGTAGACTAGGTGGGGAATATCTTTCCTCAATGTTTAGTGTTTTGAAGATCATAAAAGCGACTTTTCAGGTGAAAAGTACAAGAAATCTCTCCTGCCAAATTATTCAGTTATGTACAAATTCTGCTCCTTCATGAATAGTGCCACGCTTGCCTTAAAAAAATGCCCTTTGTCAGAGAATAAAATTCGACAAGCTGAACGACCTTGTGAACCAAAGACACTTGCTGATACTGAGGTTCCTCCAGTGTTACAAAACTCATTAACCAAACTGTTCTTGGTTAGGGATTTGACTGTCGAAGAAGATAGACTGCTTATATTTACCACTAAATCTAACAGAAAAACTATCGCATGTTTTCATTTTGGCTAGTGGACGGCACTTTCAAAACTATCCCTACTGGTTTTTATCAACTATACATGATTCATGCCCCTGTTGGTTCTGAAGATTCTAGAACTTATCTAGTCATTTAAACAATTATTTGAAGATTTGCTGCACTTTGCAGAAGAAAATAGCTTTCGATTGAATCCCCAAACCATAACAACAGATTTGGAATTAGGTGTGATCAAAGCTTCTAAAAGTGAATTTCAAAGTGTTACCAATAAAGTTTGTTTTTTTTCCATTCAGCCCAATGCATTTGATAGAAAATTAGATGAGTAGATAGGCCAGGAGATACAGCAATGACAAAAACTTCAGTTTAGAAGCAGGAACCCGCATCCAGGAATAGAGCCCTTTGCTCCTCCCTCAGAATGAATGGAGATCAAAAATCAGATGCTTATGCCCAAGAAAAACAGGATTTCATTCAGCACTTCTCCCGGATTGTTAGGGTGCTGACTGAGGATGAGATGGGGCACCCAGAGACAGGAGATGCTATCGCCCAGCTCAAGGAGGTCCTGGAGTACAATGCCATCGGAGGCAAGTTATCACCGGGGTTTGACGGTGCTTAGCATTCCGGGAGCTGGTGGAGCCAAGGAAACAGGATGCTGATAGTTTCCAGCGGGCCCTGATGGTGGGTTGGTGTGTGGAACTGCTGCAAGCTTTCTTCCTCGTGGTAGATGACATCACGGATTCATCCCTCACCCACTGGGGACAGATCTGCTGGTATCAGAAGCTGGGCGTGGGTTTGGATGCTGTCAATGATGCTATGCTTCTGGAAGCATGTATCTACTGCCTGCTGAAGCTCTGTTGTTGGGAGCAGCCCTATTACCTGAACCTGATTGAGCTCTTCCTGCAGAGTTCCTATCAGACTGAGATTGGGCAGACCCTGGACCCCATCACAGCACCCCCAGGGCAATGTGGATCTTCGCAGATTCAAGGAAAAGAATTACAAATTGTCAAGTACAAGACAGTTTTCTACTCTTTCTACCTTCCTATAGCTGCAGCCATGCATATGGCAGGCATTGATGGTGAGAAGGCACACACCAATGCCAAGAAGATCCTGCTGGAGATGGGAGAGTTCTTTAAGATTCAGGATGATCACTTTGACCTCTTTGGGGACTCCACTGTGACTGACAAAGTTGGCACTGCCATCTAGGACAACAAATGCAGCTGGCTGGTGGTTCAGTGTCTGCAATGGGCCACTCCAAAACAGTACCAGATCCTGAAGGAGAATTAGGGGCAGAAGGAGGCCAAGAAGGTGGTCCAGGAGAAGGCACTATATGAGGAGCTAGATCTGCTGGCCGTGTTCTTGCAGTATGAGGATGACAGTTACAGCCACAGCCACATTATGGGTCTCATTGAACAGTATGCAATGCCCCTGCTCCCAGCCATCTTTCTGGGGCTGGCGTGCAAAATCTACAAGCGGAAAAAGTGACCTAGAGACTGCAAGGGCAGGGAGAGGAGGCTCTCAATAAATTACTGTGTAACCTTGAAAACAAAACAAAAAACTTCAGTTTAAAAATGCACTTTCCAGCTGGGCGTGGTGGCCAAGGAGGGAGGATCTCTTGAACTTAGAAATTTCATAACAGCCTGGGCAATGTAGTGAGACACTGTCTCTAGAAATAATTTTTTTAAAAGTTAGCCAGGTGTGGCGTGTGCCTGTGGTCCCAGCTACTTGGGAGGCTGAGGCAGGAGGATTGTCTGAGCCCGGGAGGTGGAGGCTGCAGTGAGCTGTGATGAAGCCACTGTACTCCAGCCTGGGAGACAGAGAGAGACCCTGTCTCTTAAAGGGCAGGTGGGTGGGGGGTGGGGGAAGAGTGTTTCCTTGTGTACAGTATGTATTAAGAGATGGGGAAAAAATGTATCATTCGCCTGCCTTGGAATTCCTTCCAGCTGATGACATTCTAGAAACTTTTAATGAATTAAAGCCACATTTGCCTGAAGACGTCAGCAAAGTTACTGACTGTTTTGAAAATAAATATGTACATGGTAGGATAAGAAAATACACAATGGTGTTGCTGTTTGATCACCAGTACTGTTTCTGTCAAATCTGTGGCCTAATGAGTGCATGCAGAACAGATTTCTGAGTACCCAAAACAACACAGAAGCATGACACAGAAAATAGGGAAATTTAGTAGGGAATGCTCCTGTCAGTGTATATGGAATCATAGAAGAATGCCAGGAAGAACAGCACCATGTAGAAAATGAATGTGAACATATTCTCCAAGTAGAGCCATGCCCTAAAAGAGAAAAAGCAGCTATTCCTCATGATGCAAGACTTTAAAATATAGTTAATGATTGTGGAGGTTGGCCAGCTCTTATGGACTATCTCCATGCAATTGCCCATAATCCAGTCCTGTAATACACTTTTTTGTATGTCAAATTATCTTTTTTTTTTCTGTTTTATGTTTTTTTTTCACTATTTAAAATTGTTGGCATTCTTTTTTACAATTTGCTATGCTATATAATTCATCTTCAAATCATTTCTGATACTGGAGGCATAATTTGTGTAGAGACTTAGAAAGTTCTGTTTTTTTGCAAATTTGACTCCATGAAAGTACATTGTCACAGCATTGACTGTGTGTAAGCATTGTTCCTGTACATAAAAACATTGAAGCATCCTCAGTAAGTGAAGAGGTGTCCTTTTTGTACATCTGCATTTGTGAAAGGTAAAATGTTTGAACATCTTGGCTCTTTAGGTGGCTGCATATGCAGTAGTGACCCATCCTGTTTTTGATAGATCTCATCAAAAGAATCTTAGGTTGTTATGGTATTTCAGATGACCAAAGGCATAAAACTGGGTGCACACATTTACCAACCATGGGGATATGCATTTACATTTCCCTTCTTGACCTATTTCTTTTTTTTTCTTTCCTTTTTTTTTTTTTTTTTTTTTTTTTTTTTGAGATAGAGTCTCACTTTGTTGCCCAGGCTGGAATGCAGTGGTGTGATCACAGCTCAATGTAGCCTTGGCCTCGTAGGCTCAAGTAATCCTCCCACTTCAGCCTCCTGTGATGGAGTCTCACTGTTTTGCCCAGGATGGTCTTGAACTCATGGGCTCAAGCAATCCTCCCACCTTGGCTGGGATTACAGGTATGAGCCATTGCGCCCAGCCCCTTTATGACCTATTTCTTTATGAATATGGCTTGTCTGTTCATTACTGATATAATTATGCAACTTTCATTAGTATATATGAATGTTTATGCTTGCACAAAAATGTATGTTATTATTGCCTATTTTATTGCATAAAGTGACCTATGAAGTGTTCTGTGTTTTCATATGTTTCTCAAATAAATTCCCTTTAAAAATGTAAATACATGTAAATGTAAAAAAAAAAGTAAATAAATATCTTTTAAAGAATTTTTAAATTATATTTTCCGGAATTACATTTTTGGAATTCTGCTCTTTCAGGATTATGATTTTCAGGTTTTAGACTTTATGGATTTTGACCTTTTGGGACTTCAGCATTATGACATTCGGGATTATGGCATTAAAAATTGTATCTCCTGGGACTATGATCGGCTCCCAATGTCAATAGTGCCACTTTTGAGAAACCTGATCTAAGCTCAAACTTGTTGGGACATATCTCAGCCTTGAAGGAAAGTTATTTTGGATTTTGATGGATATTTAAATATGTATATATCTGACTTTTAGTATAAATTAGCAGTCTATGCTGTGCCTTTTCCTTTGTGAGATTTTCCTGGCAATGCTAGTCCTTTTAGCTTAATGAAATAAGACCAAGTTTTAAAGGGTTAATAATAAATGAGAGGAAATAGCTCCTTTATATATGTAGGATTATTACACAGCTGGCAGCATAGTTCCATCAAGTACAAATGATACTATCCAAACACAATCAGAAACTGATTACCAGATCTTTAATCCTAACAGAATCACCTTGACATGAATGTTGAGTATAACTCCTGGCCAGCTATAAAATTTGCAAGACCTAGTGCAAAATGGTAATGCGGGACTCTTGTTCGAAAAGCAGGAAACAAGTACCCTGAAAGGTACCTACAATGCTTTTCCCTTTCTTCCAAGGTTTCTCTCTCTCTCTTTCTCTGCTTATTGTGATGTTATTTGCTATTTAATATTCTAAGTAAAGAAAAATTAAAAATTTAAATGATTAGCATGAATTTTACCATTTATGTCGTGCAATGCAGATTTTAAATGCAAATAGCAGAGCATTCAGCTGAGATAGGGAATGAATTTCACAATTCATATTTTGTGACTCTTCTCTGAGGGTGCCTCAAGTTGACCAGAGGAGACAGACACACCAGACCCTCAGGCATCTGGGAACCCCTGACTCTGACACCTGCTCAGTTCCCCTTTCCTCCAGTCACCAGACCTATGCAATGCCAGGCCAGGAGGAGCAGAGCCTGGCATCTTCCTTTTGCACAGGCCAACGGCCCCAGCCCATGGCAGTTTGGCCACCTCCAAGGATCTTTAAACCTCCAAGCTGGGACTTTATACTTGGACCAGGGTACCTCGATGGCCCTTGTCAAGACATGGCCACCAGACATGCCATGGGGCTGCCATGGGGGAGAGGGGAAATGGCTTCAGAACAGCTGCTGCCATGACCTGCCTGGGGATGCATTGGAGCCTAGATACTCAATGCTGACCCTTCCCTTGCCTGTGCCCAGGCCCCTTCTGGTCATGGGAAGGGGAGGTTGGGTGGGGCCCAGTGCACTAGAGGGTAGGGAGGGGTCTGAGAATCATCCTGGGAGTCTATGGGGCTGATGGGAGGTGGGATCATGCATGAGGGGAGGCCCTGAGCCACCACGCAGGCTCCCATTGTCCCACTGGACTCCACTTACAAAAGGCAAATTCAAAGACACAAGTAGTAGCCAGGCGTGGTGGCTCGTGCTTGTAATCCCAGCATTTTGGGAGGCCGAGGTGGGGTGGATCACCTGAGGTCAGGAGTTTGAGACCAGCCTGGCCAACATGGTGAAACCCTGTCTCTACTAAAAATATAAAACAAATTAGCTGGGCTTGGTGGTGGACGCCTGTAATCTCAGCTACTCAGGAGGCTGAGGAAGGAGAATCTCTTGAACCTGGAAGGTGGAGGTTGCAGTGAGCCAAGATCACACCACTGCACCCCAGCCTGGTTGACAGAGTGAGACTCCGTCTCAAAAATAAATAAATAAATAAATAAATATAAAGATACAAGTATTAAGAATTTCAAGACTTCAGCCTCAGAGCACTAGACTCCAGGTGCCAGGCCCTTCCTAATACCAGGTTTTTCTACATGTGGGGTCCTGTATGGCTGTGCAGGTTACTCGGCTGTGAAACCACCACTTTCTCTAGGAAACTCCTTTCTACCTTAGAAAATAATACGTTTTCTTCTCACTTTGAAACCTGAGGCATGCTGGACAACTTCTCTAATTTTCCCCATCCCAGATTTCACCTTTATTTTCATTCATGGCTTAATTCAACCAACAAGCAGTTATTGAGCACCCACTATGAGCCAGGCACTGTTTAAGGTGCTGAAGATACAGCCATGAAGAAACATTGAAATCCCTGCCCTCACTGCCCCCTTCAAATGGGGCGTGACAGTCAGCAACTAATCAGCCACAGGGCATGTCAGCAATAAGCGTTAAGGAGCAGAGCAAAGTGGGAAAGAGGAGCAGGAGTGGGGGCTTGCAATTTCAGAAGAGGTGGTGATGAGGGGTGCAGCAGGAAGAGGAGGAGACTAACCATAGCAGGTTACAGTGGAGGTGGGGGTGGAGGGGAAAAGCAAAGGGAATGGGAGACCTGAGCGGGTCCGGAGAGAGGAAAGACAGCAGACCAGTGGTGGGCTAGGGGGCTGGGGAGGGGAGCGGGGGTTTGAGTGAAACTGGGAGAAGCAATATGGCAGGACTTGGAAACTGAGGAGACATTTTAAATCTGATCATGAATCCCCTCTCCTTGCTCTTAAGCTAACAAAACCTTGTTTCCAGTTAGTCGCTGAAGCTGGGAACGTCTGGGGTATTTGAGCAGTCATGGTAGCTTAGAAGGGGGTCCCTTTGATGGGGGCGTGGAGAGCGGGTTCCTTCCAAACGATGTTTCTCCAGCATCGCACTGTAAGATCTTTCCAAGATGTTCTGTTAGACACTAGCACTGTACTTACCATTACACAGTTTACATGTTTAAATAATAATGAGTTCAACCCAGCACAGGCCTACTCACAGGCGCTTGAAAAAGGGTCACTGGATTTGAATCTGATTAACCGACTGTCCTGGCCGACAGAACCGCAAGGTGGCGCCATGGCTCTGCTAGAGCCGCAGTCCCACCCTCCCCGACTAGCCTGAGCAACTGGGAGTTACTGCGAGAGTCTATGCCGGGCATTGGATAAATGCCTTCTCCCCATTATTTCCTTCAATCCCTACAATACCCCTGTGAAGTAGGTATCATTCGAATCACATTTTACACGGGGAAACTGAGACTCAGAGATCACAGCTCCGGAGCTCAGGCTTTTGGCAATAACCCTCCACTGCCTGCCTCCGCAAGACAGCAAAAGGTTGGCTTTGTTCCCCAAGTCATCCAGTTTCCCACAGTGATGGGTTAAGCGTCATAACCCATGGCTTTATCCAAGCCATTTGAATTGAAGAGGAAGGTGGACGCAGAGCCAGCATGGTTAGGGCCAGTGGCCTTTCCAGACTTGCGTGCCAGGAGAGATGGGTTAGCGTGGGGGAGGCCGGAGAAGGGGTTTTCAAGTGACCCCGGTAGGACCCCCACGTCTCTCTCCCGCCTTTGCTCAGCATCATCTATAGCATGGCTTTGCATTTCCTCAAAAGCCCAGGCCAGATGCCCAGTACCTTCAGGCGGTCCAGTGTCCCCCACCCCCTAGAGCCATCTCATTCAGGACTGCCCTCCCCTGAAACGTTTTATGTTTCCAGAAGACCCTTCTCCTTCCAGGGCAAAGCCCTTTCAGTTAGGCAAGCTAGTTCCCTCAGTGACTTAAGATAAGGCTGTCCTCCTAGGCTGGACTTGGGCTGAATGCAAAAGGCGACACAAGGCAGCTGTTTAAAAAAGAATGAAGCAAATTTATATGCACCAACAAGAAGAGATTATTGCTCATTGTGACTTGGTGGCTGGGAAAATAAGGATCCCTATTAGATTGATGGATTTCACACCAAGGAGGAGGATAGAACCAGCCCTCCCAGAGGGCTGTGCTTGCTGCAGGCTAGCTGATGAGACACGTGGCTTACTTTACCCCTCGCTCAGCCCCAGCCTCAGCCTCCCTCCCTCTACACAGGGAAGACAGAGGTCAGCTGCTGAGGGCCTCCTCCATGCGAAAGGTTGCATTCCACCCGGCATTCAGAGGGGCACCCTCGCTAACCTCCATGGAGGCACCTTGCTTACATTTCTGACACCACAGCCACAGCGACAGCTCTGGGGCCCTACAGCTCCCCTCAAGCTGCTGAAATCCCAGACAACCAAAGCTGCTCATCCCTTGATGCCCTACGACCACCCAGCCAGGAAACAAATCCCCCCTCCTCCCACTGCCTGGACTCTGAGACAATCTCTGGCCATCTTGATGCAACAGAGTGTTCCATAATCATAGTCACACGTTCACAGGAAGTGTTCACAGATGATTCACTCTATTAAAAAACAAAACAAAACAAAACAGTTAAATCATGAAGTGACAACATCGTTGTAAAAAGTTCTAACAATATGGAAAGTATATATAGTGAAAATTAAAAGGTAAACATTCCTCACCCATTAGCCTAGTTTCTATCTCTGCTTTCGGAAGTAGCTATTAACACTTTGGTGTTTGGTGGTCCTTTCTAGACTCTGTGTGTGTGTGTGTGTGTGTGTGTGTGTGTGTTGCGGGATGGGGATAGAGTGTCTCTGTGTATGGGGGTCTGTGTGTGTGTCTGAGTGGATCCATCTGAGTATGTGTATTTAAAACACACGTAGGCTGGGTGTAATGGCTCACACCTGTAATCCCAGCACTATGGGAGGCTGAGGTGGGCAGATCACTTGAGCTCAGAAGTTCGAGACCAGCTTAGGCAACTGGTGAAACCCAAAAATGCAAAAAATTAGCTGGGCGTGGTGGTGTGTGCCTGTGGTGCCAGCTACTCAGGAGGCTGAAGTGGAAGGATTGCCTGAGCCTGGGAGGTGGAGCCTGCAGTGAGCTATGATTGCGCCACTGCATTCCAGCCTGGCGACAGAGTGAGACCTCATCTCAAAAACAACAACAACAACAACAAAAACACACTGGGAAAAATAGGATCTGAATACATGCACTATTCTTTAATTGTTTTTCCAATTAAAAAGAATCCTTTCTTGTTGGTTTAGATAAATAAACCTTTCTTTTTCAGACAGCTGCCCTGTGTCATCATTTACCTTCATCCCAAGTTCATTCTAGAAGGCAGCTTACCTTGAGTCTTCAGGGAACTAGCCTGCCTAGATCAGCCAGAAAGGTGGAGAGTCAGCTTCCACCTCAAGAACTCAGGGCCTGGCAGCCGAGATGGGCACACATCTTTGAAGCCCTTACTTATTCCCACAAAGCAGTTAATCAGCTCCAGTCACAGAATCACCGGTCCCAGTGCTATCCTTAAGAATCTCGTGCTTAAGGCCAGGCTCGGTGGCTCATGCCTGTAATCCCAGCACTTTGGGAGGCCGAGGCGGGTGGATCACTTGAGGCCAGGAGTTCAAGACCAGCCTGGCCAACATGGTGAAATGCCGTGTCTACTAAAAATACATAAATTAGCCAGGCGTGGTGGTGCATGCCTGTAATCCCAGCTACTCGGGAGGCTGAGGCAGGAGAGTCACTTGAACCTGGGAGATGGAGGTTGCAGTGAGCCAAGATTGTGCCACTGCACTCCAGCTTGACCAACAGACTGAAACTCTGTCTCAAAAAAAAAAAAAAACAAACAGAAAAAACAGCAACAACAAAAAACAACCTTGTGGTTGATTAACTGCAGGAGTGGTCATAACATAAAGAAGACCCCCATTAGGGTGTGGCCCCAAAGCACATGCTGGGGGGACCCCACAGCGGTTCACTGACAGCCTCAGGGCTTGCCAGAAATCTGACCCACACCTCCCCTCAGCTCCCTCTCAGCGCCGTGTTGGCCTGCCTGCTGCCAAGACAGGATCCAGGTGGTCCCTTCTGGGGCCCAAACTCTGAACACAGAGAGCTGAGATACCCTGGCTTGGACACTCACCGTTGCCCTGAGCCTGGCTTGCTTGTTTCACCTCTCTGCGCTTCAGTGTCCTCATCTGTGCAATGGGGATGTTAACAATGGCAAAGATCAAGAGGGAATACGCCATAGGCAAGGACCTAGAACAGTACCTACTTACAAAGTTATTTCACTTGGCTTCAGGAGAGATTTAAAGTGGCTTATACGAATACATGGTTATAATAAAATGCATATGTTAAAAGCAAGGAGGAAGAAGACAAGCTAGGGTGAAGCCAGGGATCAGTCCTGCATGAGAATTAGACATGATCATACACTTACCGTTGTTGGACCACAAATCTGTCTCTAAGCTTCCTAGTGGCCAAAACAAAAAAGGGCAAATGGATAGTTATGCCCTAGAGGCCTGTAAAATAAAGGCAGTTCACTTGCTCAGGTAATATTGAACCACTCTGGATGCTAAGGCAAGGCTTTTCTCCTTTGCGTCCTTAGACAAGGGACAGTGTGGTAGAAGGAGCGTCCTCCTCTGTGACATCTGTGAAGTGTGTGCCACCCCTTCTCACCTCTACCCTCCATGTAGCCTGCTGGCATCACTTGAAGCTCAAGTCAGCAAAAGCTATTGTAGCTGGGAGAGTAGTTTTCAAGTATGTTCATGTGTTTCTCTCTTTCTCCATTCTGTATATTTGCCTCTTTCCCCAGTGCCATTTTCAAGAAGAATGGACTGAGGAGGACTGGGATTGTTACAGCAAGAATGTCAAGAGAAAGACAAAGTCCTTATGCAGCCAGTGACATCCAAGGCATGGAGGCAAGATAGTTGAGTCTGCAGCATCTAGAAGTCAAACTTTGACAAGAGAGAGAAGGGTTTCCTAAATTTGCTGAGTTCCACTAACATATTAAGAACCAGGCCTGGCGGACCAGATCCAGGAGTCTGACATAAGCTAAGGAGAACACGCTGCCAGGATGTGCTGCAAGCCAGCACCGCTTCTCTGACTTTAATGTGCATGTGAATCACCCGGGCACCTTGTTAACATACAAGCCCTGGTTCCGCAAGTCCATGGTGGGGCTTGAGAGTCTACATTTCTAATAAGCTCTGGGGATACTGATGCAGCTCGTCCGTGGCCCACTGTCTAGTGGCAAAGATGTTAAGGATATCAAGGCTAAAACTGAAAGGGATTAGAGCTCCCCTCCAGGCCCAGGAAACTGGGAAGAAGATGGGCTGAGGTTGGGGACCTGGGTGGTCACACTCGTGGGCTGATCTTCCTACTGCAGGCTAAAGTCCCAGGGTAGAGGACTGGATTGGTGGGAGTTGGGTGGGGTGAGCAGTTGAATAGATTGAGAGAAAAGGCAAACACAGAGTATTTTGTGCCCTGACCCCCATTTAGAACTTCGTTAGCCTGGTGGTGGCGGCGGGGGGGCGTTGGGAAAGGGGAGGGTGCTCTGCTGAGGACAGGGGAGTATTTGGTTTGACATTCCCAAAGCCCTTGATGCCACGTAATGTGGGAGGAACTGGAAGAGATCCACTTTCTTGTATGTTCCCATGGGGGTTTCCAATGAGGATCTGGCTGGGGGCATAGGGTCTACGTGGGTCTTGGGCTTAATGGGAGTCACAACCATACTTTGGGGGTCAGCAGAGTTTTTGAGAGCAGAGGAGGTGTCCAATGGGTTGTGTAAGCTGGAGGTTACACTCACCAAGGATGTCAACAGCAGATGTCCCCAGGATTGCCAGAGACAGACTGGGCCAGCCCAGCTCATGGACCAGACAGTCACCTAGAGCAGAGAGCTGTGCAAAGAGCAGCTGGGGACCCATCCCACCACTCCCTTGAGCAATGCCATGAGGACTTCCAGAGTTCCTGGTACCACATTACCAAGAGGGCCCAGGAGAAGTGAAGTGGCTCATTAGAGTTGAACTTTGGATTCACTGAATATTTACCCCAGACCAATCAATTGATTAGCCTATCAAATGCTTCTCTCACTAATCATGTAGCAATTGTGGCAATATTAGATTTGTTACAGGTATCAGAAAAAATACCTTTGCTCATCTGGGTAGAGAGGGTGCCCTTTTTTTTTTTTTTTTTTTTTTAGCAGACATACACAGGTGATCTATAATGCTGCTTAACGAATAGTCCTTACTGGCTGGGCATGGTGACTCACACTTGTAATCCCAGCACTTTGGGAGGCCAAGGAGGATGAATCACTTGAGGTCTGGAATTCAAGACCAGCCTGGCCAACATGGTGAAACCCTGTCTTTACTAAAAACACAAAAATTAGCCGGGCGTGGTGGCACACGCCTGTAATCCCAGCTACTCGGGAGGCTGAGGCACAAGAATCTCTTGAGCCTGGGAGGCAGAGGTTGCAGTGAGCCGAGTTCAGGCCATTGCACTCAAGCCTGAGTGACAGAGCAAGACTCTGTCTCAAAAATAAATAAATTAATAAATAGTCCTCACTACTGTTGATGAAAATGCATACCTGGCAGCTTCTGGCTGGGATCAGCAAAGATGCAGGGACACAGGGCTGGGGCCACAGATCTGGGGAGGCCTGGGGGTTCAGCTGGAGGCATCCCCAGAAGCTACAATTTGAGCAGAAGTTGGGAGGAGAGGAGATACCCACATTGGTAAAGAGGGAGCAGAGAAGGGACATAAGAAGGTTTAGGCAAAGTATGGGGGAAGGTCCCATTTATTTGTCCGAGAGCTTCTGTTGCATGCCTGCCATGGAGCCAGGAACCGGGGAGTCAGAAAGATATTCCCTGCCTCATCAGGCTTGCTCTCCAAGGAGAGGATGAAAGGACGCTGCACACCTCTGACCTCTGAACAGGAGCACTGCAGGGAGGTGGTTCTGAGAACCAGGCGTTCAAAATAGTCCTGCCAGTCCCCCTACTGCCCTGCCCTCTGGCTGGAGAGTCTGGAGATGGGGATCTGGATGGTCGGAAGACCAAAGCAGTATATCCCTCACCCCATTCAGATATTTCCCAGGGAGAAGGGGGCAGCCATTTGTATTTAGAAAAAGGTTCCCAGTGAGGGTTCTCTTTTGCCCCTTTCCCCCAGCTTCCCCCAAGGACACACATGCACACCCACCCACCCCCACACAAACACACATGTGTGTGCAAGCTGATGTGTCCAGGGCCTAAAGTTCACGCTGGGGCATGAGGACAGGGGACATAATCTACTGGGAGCAGGAAGAAGACAAGTTGGAAGACCTTTAAAGTCTCTTAGAAGGGATCTGGCTTTATTATTACATATTTTTTCAGTTGCAAATTCACTTTCATCAAGTGCAGCCCCTTATTTTACCATGGGGACCCAGTGGAGGGCAGTAGAGAGGAGGGCTGGCCTGGGCTCACACGGAGCCAGGACTCACGGGGAGCCTGGTGGCCAGGAGTGCTCTCCATAACTCGGAGGCTGCTGGCAGTTCCCCTCCAGCATGCAGGAGAGGATTAATTATTAATTTTGTTTTTTGAGACATATTTTCACTCTGTCACCCAGACTGGAGTGCAGTGGCACAATCTCAGCTCACTGCAACCTCCACCTCCCAGGTTCAAGCGATTCTCCTGTCTCAGCCTCCTGAGTAGCTGAGATTACAGGCATGAGCCACCACATCCGGCTAATTTTTGTATTATTAGTAGAGGCAGGGTTTCGCCATGTTGGCCAGGCTAGTCTTGAGCTCCTGACCTCAAGTGGTCCTCCTGCTTCGGCCTCCCAAAGTGCTGGGATTACAGGAGTGAGCCACCGCACCCAGCCTAATTATTAATTTTTATAACAACCCAGAAACGTATCTGTGAACCATGAGCCCCAACACTTCTTTTCCAAATCCAGCCACTTAATCATGGTTTTAGCTGGGTCAGCTAAAACAGTCCCATCAGCTCAGAAGTGGAAAGCAGTGAAGGCCTTTATCAGCCATTCCTGGGGGCGAAGGCCAAGTTCACTGGGAGCAGCTGGTGGTGTGAGAGCCAATAATATTCTCTAAGAATCTGAGAGGCCTTTGCATATCAGAGCTGGGCCTCATGCTATTCCCTTTCCTGGCATGAGTCATTTCTTACCTTTGTGTTACTTAACTGCAGTTTTCAAAGCACTGTCACAAGACAGGATACCAGACGATTCCCAAACAACACCATAACTAGACTGGGTAGATATTGTTCTCATGGAGAAAATAACGATTCAGAGAGGGAAGTGACCCATCCAAAGTCACACAGACACAAGGACTTCTGTCCTCTGAACGTGACCCCATCCCTGGGCACCTCCCACCTGGAGGAATCCCTGTCTGGGCCATTGTTTTAACACAGGAATATTAATTTAACCCAAGATCCTTGGGTGTGTTTTGGGGTTGTCCATACATCCTCTGAAAGTGTCAACAGCATTTGGGGCATTTGTCTGAGAGTCCATAGAGTTCATCAAATTCTCTCTGATGCTGAACAGTAAGAACAGCAGCTTTCAAATAAGTGGTCCAAAGTCCTACTGTGCAACAGTCACCTGCAGCCATGCCCACCTAATGGGGACTCCTTTTATTGGGTTCTGGGGTTTGCGGGGCACAGCCATGGCCCAGAGCTTGATCAGGCCAGGGAGCTTGCTGCCCAGAAATGTTTGGCTGCCCTTGAATCTGGAACTGTCCAGGCAGCAGACACCAAGCCAGGAGCACCAAGCCAGGCAGCAGACACCAAGCTGGGTCTGACCAGACACTGTCTTTGGAGAGCACGGGCAGCTTCCTTCTAAGAGAGTGGTTATGACTGAGGCAGGTTCAGACACGGCCGCACCTCTGAATAGCCCTGTCCTCAACTAGAGTCTCACCTGGCACTGTGCCCTTAATTTCTACTCCTTCATCTGTAAACGAGAAACACTAGTACCCATTTCATAGCTTTCTATACACTAGGGTGAACTGGCCACAAAATATAATGCAAAAAGTTCCCACTTACAATAGCAAAGCCAAGGAATGAAGTATACAGGAACTGTGCAAAACTCATAACAAAAAATCTGCTGAATGACACTGAGGGACATTAAATAAAAGGCAAAACACACCACACCGAGAACTCAACACTGTCAAATGCCATTTGCCCAAATGCATAAGTCTTATGCAATTCTAATAAAAATATCTAAGATTTACTTTTAATGTGACAAAATGAATTCACCTGGAAATAAATTTATGTATGAATAGAATCATAAAATTTCTGGGAGAAAAAGAACAGGGTGGTTCTGCATTCCCAGACAGTAAAATACATTTTAAAGCTTCAGTGGTAAACAAAAAACAAAAAACCGTGTGAAATGGAAAAAGGACAGGCAGCTCAGTGGAAAAGAAGAGAAGGCCCAGGAACAGATCCTATGTATAAAAAGAAATTGGTAGTGTATGCTGAATGGGATATTCAAATCAGTGATGGAAAGATTCATTGTTTAATAAATGATGTTGGAATAATATGGAAAAACAAAGCTACTAGCCTGGGCAACATGGCAAAATCCCATCTCTACAAAATACACGCACACAAACACACACAAACCCACATACACACACACAAGAAAAGCTAGCCGGGCATGGGGGGCGTGTGCCTGTGGTTGCAGGTACTTGGGAGGCTGAGGATCACTTGAGCCCAGGGAGGTCAAGACTGCAGTGAGCTGAGATCTCGCCACTGCACTCCAGCCTAGGTGACAGAGTGAGACCCTGTCTTTAAAAAAGAAAAGAAAGGAAAGAAAGAAACAGAGAGAGAGAAAGAAAGAAAGAAAGAAAAAGAAAGGAAGGAAGAAAGGAAGAAAGAAAGAAAGAAAGAAAGAAGGAAACAAAAGAAGGAAAGAAGGTAAGGAAGAAAGGAAGGAAGAAAGAAAGAAAGGAAAATAAAAATAAAGCTAGATCCCTGCCTCATCCCAAGTTAAACTCACAATCTTAGTTTCTTCCTATGTAAGATGAAATAAAAATAGTTCCCTGAACATAATAGTAGGGGTGAAGTAAGATTATGCATAAGAATTTCTTAGCCCAATGTCCAACTCATAGTCCCCACCCAATAAGTATTACCTCATATTATTATTAGTGTTATGATTAGTCCAGATGAATTATAATCTAAACATCTAATGACAAAATCATAGCACTACTGAAAATTTAGGCAAATACGTCCCTGATCTCAAGGTGGCAATGGTTTTCATAGAAGCAAAGGAAGAAACCAGCCAAGGCAGGGTGTACCAACAACCTTAAAATGTCCTTATCCTTTGACCCAGCAATTCCAATTTTATGAAGTTTATCCTAAGTATGTGCTCAGATAAATGTGCAAAGATGTTTGTGCAAAAGTGGCTATTGAATGTTTTTTATAACAGCAAAAAATAGGAACAACTTAAATGTCAAAAAATGAACGGTTAAAAAATTTTTAGGCTGTGCACAGTGGCTCACGCCTGTGATCCCAGCACTTTGGGAGGCTGAGGCGGACAGATCGCTTGAGGTCAGGAGTTCAAGACCAGCCTGGCCAACCTGGTGAAACCCCGTCTCCACTGAAAATACAAAAATTAGCTGGGCATGGTGGTGGGCACCTGTAATCCCAGCTACTGAGGAGGCTGAGGCAGGAGAATCACAGAGGTTGCATGAGCTGAGATCATGCCAGTGCACACCAGCCTGGGTGACAGAGTGAGATTCTGTCTCAAAAAACAAACAAAACTTTTGTTCGTCCACACAGTGGACTATGCTGCCACTAAAAATAAAAAATAATCTTACCAGCCGGGCACGGTGGCTCATGCCTATAATTCCAGCACTTTGGGAGGCCGAGGCAGATGAATCATTTGAGGCCAGGAGTTTGAGAGCAGCCTGGGCAACATGGTGAAACCCCCATCTCTACTAAAAATACAAAAATTAGCTGGGTATGGTGGCACATGCCTGTAGTCCCAGCTACTCAGTAGGCTGAGGCATGAGAATCGCTTCAGCCTAGGAGGTGAGGTTGCAGTGAGCCGAGACTGCGCCACTGCACTCCAGAATGGGAGACAGAACGATACTCTATCTCAAAAAAATAAAAATAAAAAATCTTGCTGAACATTAATTGATTGATTGGGAAGAAATACTTAGATAAGAGTGCTAACTATGACCAAAGAAGTATATATTGTATGATATCTTAAATATACCAAAATGTACACCAAAAGGGTTATCTCTGTGTGAGGGAGTAACTTAGTTCTTTTTCTTTATTCTTTCCAAACTCACTATAATAAACCTGCTTAAATTACAATTCTACCAAATTTAATAGGGATTTTTTTTTCTTTGAGACAGGGTCTTGCCTCATTGCCCAGGCTGGAGTGCAGTGGCATGATCTTGGCTCACTGCAGCCTCGACCTCCCAGGTTTAATCAAACCTCCCACCTCAGCCTCTCAAGTAGCTGGGACTACAGGCACATGCCACTATGCTGGGCTAATTGTTGTGTTTTTGTTTTGTTTTGTTTTTATTTTTTGTAGAGATGGGGTTTTACCATGTTGCCCATGCTAGTCTCAAACCCCTTGTCTACCTGTCTCAGCCTTCCAAAGTGCTGGGATTACAGACGTGAGTCAGCCACCATGCCCAGCCTTAATAGGGATTTTAAAAGTTCATTTTACAATTTTTAAAAATTGAGGTCTGGGCTGGGTAGCTCATGCCTGTAATCTTAGGGGTTTGGAAGGCTGAGGTGGAAAGATTGCTTGAGGCCAGAAGTTTGAGGCCAAAGTGAACTATGATCTTGTCACTGCACTCCAGCCTGGGCAACAGAACAAGACCTTGTCTCTAAAAAAAAAAAAAAAAAAAAAAAAGTAAAAATTGGTGTATTTCCAATTTTTTGTGCATTTAAAAGTCAATTATTGAACAGAGGTTTTCCAAAAGATACTCCTTTTTTTTGAGTCAGAATCTCGCTGGAGTGCAGTGGCACAATCTCAGCTCACTGTAACCTCTGCCTCCTGGGTTCAAGCAATTCCCCTGCCTCAGCCTCCCGAGTAACTGGGACTACAGGCGAGTGCCTCCACGTCCAGTTAATTTTTTTTTTTTTTTTTTTGTTTAGTAAAGACGGAGTTTCACCATGTTGGCCAGGCTGGTCTTGAACTCCCAACCTCAGGTAATCCACCCACCTCGGCCTTCCAAAGTGCTAGGATTACAGGTGTGAGCCACCGCACCTGGTCTACAAAAGATACTTCTCACCTTTGTTTCTCAAACTAGGGTAAATCTGTGGCATCTGCTAATAGGTCATCACAAGAACATGTGCACAATTTACTTGACTAATCCTCCCTTAGACATTACTTTTATATGAAAACAAATCCAAATGAATTATAAGATAAATATGAAATGCTTATGGTTTCTTTTTCCAGATAGAGCAAGAGACCAGGCAGCCGTCAACCCCCAGATGGCGGCTGCTTCAGGCAGGTCCCTGTCCATGAGCTCTGCCTTAGCTGCTTTGGAGAGGAGGAGGGGCCTGGTGCAAGCCCACGGCACTGCAGTGACATTTGTCCCCACACCCGGGGAAGTGGCCAGCGGAGCCTTATGTTTTCTTGAAAGTTCAAAGTCTCAGGTGTCACAAGTCCCCTCAGCCAAAGATTCCTCAGGTGGAGCCTTGCTTCCCAGAAGCCTCCAAAACAAACAGCAGTAAGTAAATGAGACCCGAGAAGCTGGCAGGCAGCCAGCTTGGGGCAGGATGCAGGGCTGGGGGTGGCGGGAGTGTAGAAGAGGCTGAGGGCTCCCAGCACACCGGCCTGCTGGGGCAGCTCCTTTCCAAGGACCTCATGCTTCCCTCAGCAGCCGGTGCCTCTGGGCAGGACAAGGCGCACAAAATGGGAATGCAGGCTGCCTGAGTGAAACTTGGCTGGGTCTGGGAGCAGGCTGGGCTGGCAGGAATGCTGTGAAGCTGGCAAATTCTGTGCAGGGTGAGGCAGGGCTCATACCAGCTGCCCGCATAATGCCAAGGCCTAGGGTGCTGACTGTGGGTCATCTCACCAGGGCAACCTGTGTCCCAGGCTGCTCAGGAAACAGACGCCCAGGGGCCGAGCCTTGGCGTGTCTCGCACTTTCTGGGCCTCTGAGTCCACGGATGTTAGCCCACATCAAAGAAAGAGGCTCACCATTCAGGGGCATGGCGGGGCAGTGAACTTCCCACAAGCTCTCCCTGCTCTCACCATGGGCTGCAGCCTTGACCTTGGCTTTGTTTATGAGGGAGATGGTGAGGAAAGCCTTCCAGCAGGGGGGACGTGTCGGGGAGGCCACAGGACAGCCGGCATTCATGGAGCTTTTACTCCAGGTCAGACCCTGTAATAGCTGCAGACATGCATTTTCTCACATTTCTCGTCACAATTGCTGGATTATCTCCATTTCACAGGTGAGGAAACTCAGGCTTGGAAACAATCAGTGGAGATAGAGGAAGGTCACACAGCTAGTGAATTGCTAGCTAGGGGTGGACGGATATACACTCACATCCACCATGCTCCTGAGCTAGGCGCTTCCATTGCCCCAGCCCTGTGTCATTACGGAGCCCACCTCTAGGCCCAGCCACTGCCACCCTCCAGGCCCCTCTCAGCCCATAGCCCCCCTGTGCTCCCCTGCCTTGCATCCTTGATCAAGTCCTCAGGGATCTGCCCAGTTTCCTCTCTTTGAGAAAGCTGTCACTCCCCTCTCTGGCTAGGACATGGCTGAAGGTGGAGTGCTGACCTCTCCTCCTCTTCTTCCAACACAGGCTCATGGGCCTCTCCTCCCTGCTTCCCTGGGTTAGTTTTCCTCTGGAAAATCAGGTAAGTGATCATCAAAATAGCAAGCATGAGTTTACAAAGGTTCTAGAACCAAGCTGAGCCCTCATACGCGCTCCCTGGTTGGTGGTCCCTGACTGCCTCTGAGAAGGACATTGGAAGCCCAGGTGGAATGTGAACTCTACATTTATTTCTAAGAGTTTAGAGTTTACTAAGACCCCCACTTTTACCCCCACCCAATTCTTTCCTTCCCCTAGCCCCTTTGTTTGGTCTCTTTTGGTGGCCAGAGGTAGTGAAGGCAGGAGGGCTCACACTTTCTTGGGTGGGCTATTTGCTTCTCTGTGTTTTCCATTCCATCCCACCCCAGCCTCCCCCTGTTCCCAAGGAAGCCAAAGATGGGGCATTAGATTTGCGTGTTTTAGTCTTCTATCTTCGCATGAGCAATGGCCAGACCCTAATTAACCCTAGAGATGAAAGCTGTCTCAGAATCCACCTGGGAGACCATACCTTAAAAACATTGAAGAGTGGGGCCTACTGATTTTGTTTTCTAAGCTAAGTCAAAGGTTCGAAACAATAAATCTTTCTCTACGCAGGAGGAGCAGTGCTATTAGCTCATGGCTGCTGAGCCCATTGGATTTCACCCACAGCTGTGTGTGGGTCAGCAAGGTGGCAGCTTAGAGATGCAAAAGTGGGAAGGGGTCTGGGCATGGTGGCTCACATCTGTCATCCCAACACTTTGGGAGTCCAAGGCAGGAGGATCACTTGAGCCCAGGAATTTGAGACCAGGCTGGGCAACATAGTGAGACCCCATCTCTACAAATTTTTTTTTTTTTAACTAAAAACCAAGTGAGAAGGGAAACTATTTCACAGAGTTGTTGAGTGAATTCACTAGACAACACTTATGCCATTCCTGGTACATAGAGAGCACCAAATACATGTTAGCTGTGATTATGCTGTGGAATCATGATTCTTTGGGGCCCCTGACACTCACTGAACAATATGAAAATGTTCTATTTTCTGTACGTCACTTTCCTCTTTCTGTCCATAAATTTCCTTCCACCATGTGGCTGCGCTGGAGTATCTCTGAATCTGCTGTGATTTGGGGGCTGCCTGACTGTTCATTGCTCAATTAAACTCCTTTAAATTTAATTTGGCTGAAGTATTTCTTTTAACAATGCAAAGTGCCGTATGGGTTGACTTAGGGATCAAACCCAGCCCAGGCCTCCCTGGGGAGGTAACGCTGAAGCGGAGTCTCAGGATGAGAAGGATTTAGCCAGGGGCTTTGCAGCAACTTTGGGCATTTTCCAAGAGCTTAGTTGGGCTAAAGGGTTGGCCTTGGTTAGGAGGGTAGACCATTCAAATGTACCTCAATGGATAAATGGATTTTAAAAATGTGGTATATACGTACAATGCAATATTATTCAGCCTTAAAAAATCCCGACATTTTCGGCAACATGGATGAACCTGGAGGACATTATGTTAAGTGAAATAAGCCAGATACAGAAAAACAAATACTGTATAATGTCACTTATATGTGAAATCTAAAAAAGTTGAACTCATAGAAGCAGAGAGTAGAATTGCTGTTGCCAGCAGCTCAGGGGCGGGAAAATGGGGACATGTTGGTCAAAGGGTACAAAGTTTCAGTTATGCAATATGAATAAGTTGTGGAGATCTAATGTATAGCGTGGGACTATAGTTAACAATTCTGTATTATATACTGGAAATTTACTAAGAGGATAGTTTTTTTTTTTGAGATGGAGTCTCACTCTGTCATCAGGCTGGAGTGCAGTGGTGCGATCTCAGCTCACTGCAACCTCCGCCTCCCCGGTTCAAGCGATTCTCCTGGCTCAGCCTTCCGAGTAGCTAGGACTACAGGCACGCGCCACCACGCCAAGCTAATTTTTGTATTTTTAGTAGAGATGGGGTTTCACCATGTTGGCCAGGATGGTCTCAATCTCTTGACCTCGTGATTCGCCTGCCTCAGCCTCCCAAAGTGCTGGGATTATAGACGTGAGCCACCACATCCGGCTGAGGATAGATCTTAAGTGTTCTCATCTCTCACACACACAAAGAAGAAAATAGTGACTGTATGAGGTGATGGATATGTGAATTAGCTTGATGGTAGTGATCATGTCATAATGTGTACATATATCAAAACATCAAGTTGTACACCTTAAATATACACAATTTTTATTTGTCAATTATATCCCAATAAAGCTGTTTTTGTCTTTTGTTTTTAAAAAAAGAGTTCAAAGTTCTAATACCTAAATTACTTTTCCAGGCCTGGTTAATTCCCATTCTCTTGCCAGTAACTTTTAGTAGAAAGAAGGACAGTCTCCCCTCTCCCTTCCCAATCCTCCCCTCCACCCTAGCCCTTGTCCCAATACAGAGGCTTTGATGAGTTCTGCTCTGAAGTGCCCAGTGGTCAATAAGCACCAAGAATCCTGACCCAGCCAGGCATTATCTCCCGGCAGGCTTGCTTTTCACCAAGGCCTCCTGGTACTCACATGTTGAAGTTATTTTATCTTGCCTTCAAAGCTTGTAGTGATCAGAGGTATTAAACTCTGGAGCCAACAGCTAATATTTGTTGAGCAAAATCTCATGCAATCTTTGTAGCAGCCCTGTGAGAGAGGTTCCCCCGCTATCAGCCTGATTTACAGAACAGAAAAGTCACTTGCCTGAGATTACACAGCAAGCCGAGAGGCTGAGATTCAGATTCATACATCTGACTCCCGAGTGCTTGGGTTTAACCCTCGAGCTCCTGTCTCTTGGCAGACCCCGTGGATCAGTCCGCTAAAGTTGACCCGAGGAATTTCCCTCCTTCACCTCTGAGCTTATATCCAATCCTCGATCTTCAAGTTTTCATCACTCCTGGGATATTTCCCTTTAGAGGCAGCTGATTCACAGACCCATGGAGTCAGAAGTTTACATTTTACTGACAGATCAATTAGTTCCCAAGGGAGGATGTAGAGTCCTACCTTGCAAGAAACCCCAAGGACCAGCAGGTCTCTCTGCTCCAGTGTCCCTGGGCCCCTTGTCAGCCATGGCCAGGGTTGGGACAGGCAGAAACCAGCCTGAGAAAAGCACGGAAAACAATGTCCAGTGCCATGATCAGGGGTGGGTCCGGTGGGCTGCTTCCTGGCATGCTGATCTATGCTGGGGCTCAAACATCACTGGAGCGAGTGTGGAACCAGATGACGCAGTTCCTATGCACGTCTCCTCTCAACTGTGATGTGAAACTTGGTCTAGCTTCTGCCAAAGAAAACACAGCCATTGAGTAGGAATAAAATTTGTTCCTGGTCCACTCATTTCTATTGAAAATGTTCTCACAGGCTGCCTGGTACAACTTTTCCTGAAGTGGGCTGTGCCATGACAGGAGCTGTTTCCAGGGAATAAGTGGTTTATTAACTGAATTTAAAACACTTTGAGAGGCTGGGTGTGGTGGCTCACGCCTGTAATCCCAGCACTTTGGGAGGCCGAGGTGGATGGATCACGAGGTCAGGAGTTCGAGACCAGTCTGACCAATATGGTGAAGCCCCATCTCTACTAAAAATACAAAATTTAGCCAGGCATGGTGGTGCATGCCTGTAATTCCAGCTACTCAGGAGGTTGAGGCAGGAGAATCTCTTGAACCCGGGAGGCAGAGGTTGCTGTGAGCCGAGATCGCACCACTGCACTCCAGCCTGAGTGACAGAGTGAGACTATGTCTCGAAAACAAAACAAAACAAAAACAAACACTTTGATGGGTTGAGTTCCGTGGCTAATGCCTGTAATCCCCACACTTTGGGACACCAAGGCGGGAGGATTGCTTGAGGCCAGTTTGAGACCAGCCTGGGCAACATAGGGACACCCAGTGTGGTGTTATGAAATAGATTGGTTTTCGTCCAAGAGGGTTCCTGGCTCATAACTCCCATAGCCCTTGTTTCAGTCTTTTGTTAGAATGTTGGGTGCATTAGGCCTCAGGGGCAGCCTCTGACCTTCTCCCTAGCTCTTTTCACTCTAACATTCCCTCGCCTTTCTGATTGTGGATTTTAAGACTCTCCCATGCAAGGGTCCCACCCTATGCCCTGGGGGAAAGAATGCTGATGTCAAGAAGCTTCCATAAAAGCTCAAGAGGACAGGGTTCAGGGAGCTTTTATCCGGATAGCTGAACACAGGGAGGTTCCTGGAGTGTAGCGCCCAGGGAGGGCATGGCAGCTCCACACTCCTTCCCTGATACCCCGCCTTACATGCCTCTTCGTTTGTATCCTCTGCGATATCCTTTGTAATAAACCAGTAAATGTAATAAGTGTTTCCCTGAGTTCTGTGAGCCGCTCCAGCAAATTAATCAAACCCAAAGAGGGGGCCATGGGAACCCAAACTTGAAGCTGGTCAGTCAAAAGCTCTGGAGGCCTGGCCTTGCAACTAGTTTGTGTGGTGGGGCGAGGGGGCAGTCTTGGGGGTCTGAGCCCTCAACCTGTGGGGCCTGACACTGTCTCCGGATAGATTGTGTTGGGACTGAATTAGAGGACACTGGCTGGGGTCTACTGCTTGGTGTGTGGGGGAAAACCCTCCATATTTGGTCACAGAAGTCTTCTGTGTTGATGATTGTTGTGGTGTGACAGTTGACAAAAAACACAGAGAGAGCTTTCACTATGCACTCTGTCTCTACAAAAAAAAAATAGCCGGGCATGGTGACATGCACCTGTACTCCCAGCTCCTCAGGAGGGTGAGGCAGGAGGATCGCTCGAGTCCAGGAATTGGAGACTGCCATGAGCTATGATTGCACCATTGGTGAATGCTGGGTGACAGAGCGAGACTCTGCCTCTAAAAAAAAAAAATTAAGGCCGGGCACAGTGGCTCACGCCTGTAATCCCGGCATTTTGGGAGGCTAAGGCGGGCGGATCACCTGAGGTCAGGAGCCGGAGACCAGTCTGGCCAGCATGGTGAAACCCCGTCTCTACTAAAAATACAAAAATTAGCCCGACGCAGTGGTGCATGCCTGTAGTCCTAGCTACTGGGGAGGCTGAGGCTGGAGAATCACTTGAACCCAGGAGATGGAGGTTGTAGTGAGCCGAGATTGTGCCACTGTGCTCCAGCCTGGGTGACAAAGCAAGACTCCATCTTAAAAAAAAAAAAAAGAAAGAAAAAAGAAGACAAAACCACTTCGATGTATCTCCTCTTGTTAGCAGTGTTGGTTGTGTACTGCATTAGCCAAGGGAGGGCTAGGCTGTGGTAACAAAGAGATCCAATACTGATGTAGGGCAGGGACCAGCAAACTTTCTGTAAAGGGCCAGAGAGTAAATAGTTTAGGTTTCGCAGGTCATATCTTCTCTGCTTCAACTGCTCCACTCGGTCCTTGTAGAGTGAAGGTAGTCATGGACAATATGTAGATGAATGATCGTGGATGTATTCCAATAAAATACTATTTACAAAAATAGGCAGCGCGAGTGTTTGCCCACCCCTGCTGCAGCTTAAAGATGATAATTTCTCTTCTATGTAACAATGGTGGAGTGAGTGGCCCTAGTTTTGGGCACAGTTGTTTAGGGATCCAGGTCCCTTCCATTGCAAAGGAGGCTGGGAGATGTGGTCTGGTTGTGTGTCCAGGAAGAGGGAAGAACGGATGTTGGCAGATGGCCCACAGTCTCTGCTTCCCCACCAGCTTCCATTGTCCCTGCCCCTTCTCACTGCCTCCTTTTTTTGTGCAGGTGTCCACTCTGCCCCACTCCCCCATCCCTATGCTCCTCTGCCTCCCCCTAGAGCCCCTGTCCCAGATAGTGCAGGGGCAGTTGACTCTACTCCTCTTTTTTTTTTTTTTTTTTTTTTTTTGAGACGGAGTCTTGCAGTGTCCTGGGCTGGAGTGCAGTGGTGTGATTTCGGCTCACTGCAACCTCTGCCTCCCAGGTTCAAGTGAGTCTCCTGCCTCAGCCTCCTGAGTAGCTGGGATTACAGGAGGCCGCCACCACACCCAGCTGATTTTTTGTATTTTAGTAGAGATGGGGTTTCACTATGTTGGCCAGGCTGGTCTTGAACTCCTGACCTTGTGATTCACCCGCCTCGGCGTCCCAAAGTGCTGGGATTACAGGCGTGAACCACCGCGCCCAGCCGACTCTACTCCTCCATTGGGGTTGGCCTGATGGGTCTAAAGGTCAACACAGGCCTTTTGTTACAGTGATTGGGGCAGGCACCTGGGCCTGAGCCCAGCAGGGCAGAGCATGCTTCCTGGCCACAGGGATGATTCAGGAGTGAGAGAATGTGACCTTAATGAGAGGGCTGGTTTGTTAGTAGTATCTGGAAAAGAAGTGTCCTTTCCCTTGAAAGAGAGTCTTTCTCTTCAGGGGGATGTGGTGGCAATTCTGTGGCTACTATAGCCATTTTAAAAAAAATTGCGGTAACATATTTAAAACATAAAATTTATCATTTAACCTCTTTGTTTTTTTGAGATGGGGTCTCACCATGTTGCCCAAGCTGGTCTTGAACTCCTGGCACAAGCGATCCTCCTGCCTCAGCCTCTGGAGCAGCAGGGACTACAGGCGCACACCACCACACCTGGCCATATACATCACATGTTGTTTATACATTCGTCTATCGATGGACATGGGCATCACCTCCACCTTTTTAGGCTGGTCACTGCAGCCTAAATTCTGTCTAATTCTGTTTTTAATTTTAATTCTGCTCCTCTGAGATGAGCCAGCTTGTGCATGAAGCAAGGCTTGAAGGAGAACACGGCTGCATGGATCGCTGGGCCACTGGACTGAGGTGCTTTGAAGGTGGCAATCCACGAACCTTTGGATTTGTGGATCTGTGGATCTGTGAAGCAATGAGTTTCTTCATTGTTGAATTGAGGTTTAGGTCTCTTACAGCTATGAGCCGCCTAGATGATGCATCTTCCGAGAAGTTGCCCAGTTTCAAAAATTACAGAAGAAAACAAAAATGAACAGAACCACAGAGAAGTGGGAATTATTTTGCTGATGTGAATGCTGGAAAAAAAATTAAAGTATGTTTTGTAGCAATTTTAAAGCAATATTTTGTAATTCTATCTCTGCGAGTTACTTCTTTCCTGATGTATGTGAGTGACTAATCTTATGAGTGAAGGAAAAACAGAAAAGAAAGACAAATTTGATTAGGTTAAAATGTTTTGTTATACCCGATGTATGTCATAAATCCCTTATTTTGACCTTTAAAGAAAGATTTTTATTGGCCAGGCAGAGTGGCTCATGCCTGTGATCCCAGCACTTTGGGAGGCTGAGGCGGGTGGATCATGAGGTCAGCAGTTCGAGACCAGCCTGACCAAAATGGTAAAACCCCGTCTCTACTAAAAATACAAAAATTAGCCGGGTGTGGTGGCAGGCACCTGTCACCCCAGCTACTCGGAAGGCCAAGGCAGGAGAATCGCTTGAACCTGGGAGGCGGAAGTTGTAGTGAGCCGAGATTGCACCATTGCACTCCAGTCTGGGGGACAAGAACAAGACTTTGCTTCAAAAAAAAAAAAAAAAAAAGAAAAGAAAGGAAAAATTGGGTTTCCATATACTGACTCTGAATAAATGCTGTGTGGATATGCAGAGATGGAGAACCAAATTATAAGCCTCCCCAGGGCTCTCACATGTCCCTATCTGCCTCAGCTGATGGATGAGCTAGAGGCTGGTATGTGGAAATCCTCCTCCGAGCTACGGCACAATTTGGTAGAAAATGCCCTGAACTGAATGGCAACTCTGGGGATCTTCCCTGGCCAAGTGACCCTGGGACTCTCTAACAACTCTGGGCCTCTGTTTCCTCATCTGTATAATGGGTTTACTAATGCCTACCCTATCTACTCTGCGGTGTTGGTAGCGAATGAGAAAAGACTTTGAAACTGAAAAGGGCTATGCAGATTTAAGGTTCCTGGGGGCAAAATATTAACCCATTCTTTTATGCAAGTTCAGCAGCCTGGGGGAGGGTGGTAATCACTCTCACAAAAAGCTAGGCCAGCCTTCTTATAGTTATTATTTATTTTGAGACAGTCTTGCTCCATCGCCCAGGCCAGAGTACAGTGGTATGGTGCCATCCTAGCTCACTGCAGCCTTGACTTCTTGGGCTCAAGTGACTCTCCCAGCTCAGCCTCCCTGCTCCTAAAAGCTAGGACCACAGGCATGTGACCTCGCCCGGGTAATTTTTAAATTTTGTAGGGATGGGGTTTCACTATGTTGCCCAGGCTGGTCTCCAACTCTTGAGGCCAGCCCTATTGCCTACAGTATGGAAGCCCAGGCTGCTAGGCCTGGCAGTGGTCGAGCACCCTGGAAATGGGCTCCTGAATGCCTGTGGCAGCAGCTAATTGTGCATGTGTCTTCAGGGAGGAAGATACAGATTTCTTTCCCTTGATTCTGCTTATAAAGAGCTGGATTCTGACGCTGGGGCTTGCACACTCACAGACATTTCAGCTCCTATGGCTACCATGGGAAATGCGATTTTCATCTGACAGTGAAGTAACTGAGGCTCAGAGAGTATACATACTCAGGATCACACAGCTTGTCAGTGTCAGAGCCCAGATTTCAACCAAGAACCCTTGTCTTGGTCTCCAGGGTTCTCCGCAATCTTCCATACTGCCTTTGTCTCCAAGCTTTGGGCTCTTGCTCCTGCCATGTTCCTAGATCTCTGAGGGTTTCCTCCCTCTGCTCTCCAGTCTGTGGCCCTGGGCATTTTGGGGTGGGAGTTGGGTAGCCAGGAGAAGAGCAGATCCTTATGAGTAGAGACAAGGCTTTCCAGGGACAAGTGTTGGCAGCCCTGGGGGCCACACTGCCTGTGGTCTTGCTGCCTCACTCTCACCCTGCCGTGGGAACTGCCCATGGAATAAACATTGACACTGGAGAGGTTGATGTAATGACAGTTTTTTAGTGAAATAGTTTTCCATTTATTGATGCCAGAGGAAAAGTCTCCCCTGGAGATATGTGTGTAGGTGGGAAAGGGACCCAGAAGTAAGAGCTACCCATCTTCTATGGGTCCAGTGGATCACAGAGCCCTTGGCTCCAAGGGCAGGGGCACTACCTCATTCACTCAAGTGTCCAGAAGGCCTGCTGCACAGCTGGCATTCAATACATATGTGTTAAATGAGTGAATGAATGAATGATGACTGCCGTGAAAGATCGTCCCATCTGCCTCGCTTCCCGTGTGCTCCGCATCTCCCAGCTCTTGCATTCTCCTGCTCGCGGTCTCTCCTGCTTCTCCTTCTGGCTCTAGTCTCCACCCACTGACCTCCTGACCTGTCTGAGTTCATCTCTTCATCTCCCTCCTCCTGCCCCTCCCTATGTGCTGCCAAGGCACTAAGGGCTGCTTTATAGGTATGGTTTTAGTTAATCCGTGCAGGCTGACATTCCCCAATCCACAGCTGACAAAGCTGGGACCTGATGAGGCCAGGTGGCTCACCCAAGTTTCACACGTAGGAAGTGGCTGGGCTGAGACACCAGCTCCCAGTGGCTGAGCTCTGCACCTTCTGAACCCAACTGCACAGTCTGTGGAGCCCTTCCCCCAGAGACAGCTTCCCCTGGAAGCTTCCCAAGACAGAGGTGAGGGGAACAGCCCAAGCTTCTCAAGCATGCTGCCAACACTGAGCGTTCTCCAGCCAGGCACAGGCCTGTGGCCTTGGCTGCATTTCCCATGTGGGGAGAGAGGAGCTGCGGGGCTGAGTGAGCTGCCAGCGGAGACCTTCTCTCCTGTCCAGCCACAGATACAGGCCCGTGCCTCGGAGCACAGCCCGACGAAGCCTGCCCCCTCACTGTCTTCCTCCGGGACCAGGCCACATGGCTCCCTCTGGGTGGGGTGGGAGAGATGGCTTTCAGAGAACCCCCTCTGACGCATGACTCTGCAGCAGGAGGGGAAAAAATCCCAGGCCTGTAACAGAGCCTGTGGTTTCTTAGGGAAAACCACAGAAAACTCACAGCTTGGGATGGTATACCCACAATCCCCACTGCACAGGGTGTGGCCCAAGGGTACCTCGGCTGCCAGTACCTATCTTGGCACAAGACTCCACTGGCAGCAACTTCTGCTTGCAGCCATTAGCGCTTTTGTCTGGCAGTGCCCCCTGCACGGGGTGGCTGTGCTGTTGGTGGCCCTTGCCGAGGGGAATTCCATAGGAGGAGGAACAGGAAGGCGATGTCGGGCAGCCTCCTTTAGCCTCTACTGACCAGCAGCCAGGTCGGGGATGTCGGGGGGCTATGGTAGCTTTGATCCCACCGCAGCCTGGAGCAGCTCCTCCAACCTTGACTCCTGGCTCACCCCTACTCACAGCCTTCCCATCCTAGCCTGGTGGATGCCCTGTCCTTTCTAGGCCTCGGCAGCCACCAGCCTGGCTGCGGGTGGCAGAGCTGCCACCATGAATTTCCAAGCCTCAAAAGCACACTGCGCTTAGATGCGTTGCTTGGCAGTGGCCTTTCTGAGCAAGGCCCCGGGGGACTGTGTGGAGCTTGGGCGAGAATGTGGTTGTAGAGCTGTATATGGGGCACTATCGGTGGTTTCTGTGGTGGGCCCACACAGAAACCTCTGTTGTGCTTTTACCCTGAAGCCAACAATGTGCCCCAGCTATTAGCTCACTGGACAGTCTCCAGGAACTGGGCCCAATGCTGCTTCCTCCCACAAAACAAAGCTATAAACTATTGTTCCTGCCCTCCTCTGTCCACAGGCCCCACTGCCCACAGCAGGCATGTCTGCCAAGGCCAAGGTCAAAATTTGCCAATGAGCTCAGCAGCGGAAACTCAGTAGTCTGCGCGGTTACCTCCTCTCTCTCCATCAGGGCATTGGAGGTCATTCCTCTCATTTTTTTTTGAGATAGAGTCTTGTTCTGTCTCCCAGGCTAGAGTGCAGTGGCATGATCTTGGCTCACTGCAGCCTCAACCTCCTGGGCTCAAGCAATCCTCCCACTTCAGCCTCCCAAGTAGCTGGGACTACAGGTGTGCACCACCATGCCCAGCTAATTTTTGTAGAGATGAGGTTTCTCCACATTGCCCAGGCTGATCTCGAACTCCTAGGCTCAAGTAATCCTTCTATCTTGGCCTCCCAAAGTATTGGGATTACAGAGGTGAGCCACAATGCCTAGCCCCTCCCTCTCTTAATCTTCCATTTCCCTTGCCCATCTCAGTTACAAGGAGCCTTGGCCGTGGGAGATGGATCAAAAGTCAAGGGTTTGATGCTGACTTCCATTTTATGTGTGTGTGTCTTCCCAGGGCTTCCTGGCCTCTGCCTCGACATCCCAACCCAGGAGTAAGGACAGTCACTAAGGGGTCGGGACAAGGGTCTGCCTGCTGTCTCCACTTAGCCTCCTCTGCTTCTCTTCTCGACATTGGCTGTCTGTCTGGGGTTAGGAGAGGATAAGAGGAGGTAGAAGATGAGGCTGGGGTCCATACTTATGGGCGAGAGTTGCCTCCTCTGATTTGGAGTCACAGGCAGTAGCCACAACCCAGCCAGCCCTGTCCCAAGGAAGATCAAGAAAAAGCACAAAGGGCTTAGTTCACAGCTCCCTCTCCTGATGGGGCCAGAGACCCTGCCCCCTGCCTCTGGATCCGCCAGCGAGTGCTTAGACCGGTGTAGATAACTTCCTTTCTTGTCACCCCTACCCCTGCACCCTGAAAGTCTCCTGAATTGGAGTGGGGGAATCAGTATGAAAGAAGCTGGGTCTGACCGGGCCTAGGAATAACGATCTGGGAGCATGACAGGCTGTTCTGGAAGAAAGGGAGTTTCTTTCCCTCTTCCCACTCTTTCAACAGCCTGGCTCTAGTGGCAACATGTATCAGGGAATTATTATTATTATTTCCATTTGGGATATAATTATAGTAGCTCTGAGAGCAACGCCTTACACACTTGGCACTGCTGGGGAACGTCGGCATGTAAGTACATCACAGAGTCATCTTATCTCACCCCCTCCACTCTCTTCTCCTTGCCCTCCAGCCATGCTCCACCCCCACAGACATTTATGGGACTTCTCTGGCTCTGGGCCAGGAAGATCATTTTGACTCCCTCCCCATTCCCCAATGCCTCTGGAGGGCCCCCTTTTTAGCTGCATCCTCCACTGGGTCCAAACCCAGCAATCCCCTGGTTGAAGCCTGGGCAGCTGAGATCACTGGTCTAGAAGGGCCTTGCTCTGGATTCTCAGCTGGGGTGGGGTGGGGGTACACAGAGCCCTGGCAGCCAAAGGAACAGGGTCAATGGCTGGGCAGGGTTGAGGAGGTACGGGGACCTGGGTGTGCAGGGGGCTTTGGAGTCAGTTCTCTGACTGGGGTTGCTTCTGGAAACTCCCTCCAGCTCCACAGTAGCCCGGGGCTGAGGGGGGCAACCTCAGCGATGTCGACCGGGCACGGAGAAGGTCCTGGGGCTGGCCTGTGGCCAGGAAGCCTGGCTGCTGGGTCCTCTAGGAGCTGCCCAGTGCAGAGGTGAGGCGGCTTGGTCACATGCTGGCTTCTTGGCCATTAGTTGTGGATGCAGTGTGTGGCACCAGGGCTGTGGAGATAAGCTGACAGCCTCCCCGTCCCGGGAGGGCCCCCTACAGTGGCGATACTGTAGCCTTGTTATCCTTCCGGAGGCGGTAACTCATGAGAGAGGCAGTGTGGGGAGGGCGCCTGGAGCCCTCTATCTGCAGGAACACATCCCAGTAATGCCTGCTGCCTATGAAAAGCCTGTGAAACCCGTTGAGAAGGATAGCCTGTGGCCACACGACTCCCTCCAGGATTCTGAAGGTGTGAGAATGGGCACAGCCCGTGGTCTCCCCATCAGCTACTCCCCTACTTCCCAAATTCTCTTATGACAAAGCCATTTGAGATTTATGTCCTTGGCCATCTTCTTCTTTCCATTGAGTGCATTTCTTTTTTTTTAATTTTAATTTAATTTAATTTAATTTTATTTTTTGAGACAGAGTTCCCTGGCTGGAGTGCAGTGGCACGATCTTGGCTCACTGCAGCCTCTGTCTCCCAGGTTCAAGTGATTCTCGTGCCTCAGCCTCCCAAGTAGTTGGGACTACAGGTGTGTGCCACCATGCCCGGCTAATTTTTGTATTTTCTGTAGAGATGGGGTTTCACTATGTTGGCCAGGCTGGTCTCGAATTGCTGATCTCAAATGATCTGCCTGCCTCGGCCTCCCAAAGTGCTGGGGTTGCAGGAGTGAGCAACCGTGCCTGGCCTAATTTTTATTTTTTAACTTTTGTGGGTACATAGTTGGTGTATATATTTATGGGGTATATGATAAATTTTGATCCAGGCATACATGTGTAATAATCGTGGATGGGGATGCATCCCGTCGCGTTTATCCTTTGTGTTACAAACAAGCCAATTATACGCTTTTAGTTATTTTAAAATCTACAATTAAATTCTTAATGACTACAGTCGTCACCCTGTTGTGCTATCAAATACTAGATTTTATTCATTCTTTCTACTATTTTGTGCCCACTGAGAGTACTTCTGCTTAATCAAATCGTTCAGGAGGTTCAGATCATCATAGGGTAGAGAATGCTTATAGGTATGGGATGACATAAACTTGAAGGACGGCTTGAGTTGCTAGGGAAGAAAGTTGCCATTGGATTTTGGTAAGCCATCTTCCCTTTTTCACCATTCAGAGAATCTACAAAGAATCATGTAAGGAAATCAAGTGCTAGAGTGCCTTTCACCCATGAAAGGTAGGACATACCTACAAAGTCTAAGACTTGCTCTCTTTATCCTCTATGTATGTTTCTGACTTTTTCCCATCCCTTTTCTCAACACTCACCCTTCTATGTTCTGGGGTGTTAAGTGACAGGTTTACCCACAGGCAGGGGATGCAGAGGGGGCCATAGGAGGGAGATGGCCATCTGTGCGTGATGACCAGGTATGAGGTGGAGCACAGGCTAGAATGGTGAGTTCTGCCTAGGGTGGAGTGGAGTATTAGAGGAAGCTCCTGAAAGGAGGAGAAGTTCCCCCAGTGGACAAGTTGAAGAGGGTACTCTGGGCCCAGGCAGAGTCGCCAGAAGAAATACAGAACACCCAGTTAAATTTAAACTTCAGATGAACAGTAAAACAATTTTAGTACATGTCCCAAATATTGCATGAGACATGCTTATACTAAAAAGGTGTTCATCATTTATCTGAAATTTAAATTTAACTGGACATTCTGCATTTTGATTTGCTAAATCTGGCAATCCTAGATCCAGGAAACAGCAACAGCGAAGACAGAAATGGCATTTGTGGGAAGGAGGAGTGGTTCCACCGGGCCTTGGGCCATCAGCAGCTGTGATTGCTTTCACTGGGAGGTCCTGACTTAGCTCAGGATTACAGACCACCTGCCAGCAAGTGCCCACACCCGTTGCTCTTAGCTACTGCTTCAGCTCTTTCTTTCAGGACCACCTCGTCACCAGCTGGAGAAATCCAGTTTCAAGTATTCATAATTCATTCTTTTCTTCCTGAAGCTTCTGTGTCTAGTCCCTTCCCTTGGGTCAGTATTCATTCAAGCCACCCAGCATACATTGAATGCCAGTCCTGTGCCAGGCAATGTGCTTGACATTGGGGATTCAGTGGCACATGGGACAGACATAGCCCTTGACCACATGGAATTTACAACACACATTTTAAAACCTCTTTTGACAGTATACATGGTGAGTGGGAGCAGACAGTAAAAAATACACAAACATATACAAACTAAATTTCTCCCATCCTTTTTTTAAAAAAATAGCTATTTTAGAGAAAGGAAATTTCTGAGACATCTCTGTAATTCTTAACTCCTTCTGCATTTGCAGCATGGACCTAGAACAACTGAGTTCTCCAAGTTTTCTCTGTTCCTTCTATCTCATGCACTGGATTGAGAACACAGAGGACACAGAGGAAGGAAGAAGGTGACTGCCCTAGCCCCCAAATACTAGTCTGGTGACAGACACAGAGCACACATTAAAAACAGAACACCAGCCGGGTGTGGTGGCTTATGCCTATAATCCCAGCAGCACTTTGTAAGGCCGAGGTGGGCAGATCACGAGGTCAGGAGTTCGAGACCAGCCTGGCCAACATGGCGAAACCTGTCTCTACTAAAAATACAAAAATTAGCCGGGCATTGTGGTGGGCACTTGTAATCCCAGCTATTCAGGAGGCTAAGGCAGGAGAATCGCTTGAACTCGGGAGGTGGAGGTTGCAGTGAGCCGAGATCGTGCCAGTGCACTCCAGCCTGGGCAACAGAGCGAGACTCCATCTCAAAAGAAAAAAAAATTAACACAAAAAAACGAGAACACCGCCCCCGCCAAACTACCTCTAGTACAAATATTAATATTTAGTTAGAAACACAAATCAGTAGCAGCAGTACTGTTATTTCTGTCAAGGCTAATGCTGGCCTCCAGGTGCTGGACATGTTCTGAGTACCGAGCGCTTTCCATGCATCGCCCCCTTCAGCAGATGCCCCAGAACAGTCCTGTGAGTTTGATACTATTATTAGCCTACAGTTGAAGAAATGACAGCTCAGAGAGAGTGGAGGATTTGCCCAGAGTCTGACAGCTGGCAAGTGACAGGGCTGGGACTGAAGTTTAGGGTTTGAGACTGCAGGCCTCACACACTTAACCACAGTGCTAAAGACCTGGAGGGATTATCGCTGAAGACTGGAATTGCCTGTGAGTAAATGCAAATGTGTGTGCATTTTCACAAGTGTGTTTGTAGTCCACATCAAGGAACTGCTCTCAACCAATCCTTTCACTGGCTAAGGGCAGTAATTAAGCCGAGACAGTAATTAAGTAAATTAGCTCAAGGGTAGAAACACAAACCTCCCCTCATTGTTCTCTCCTGCCTTGGAGGATCACAGTCTGGTTTGGAATTTCTAGAACTGGTAGTTCTTAAAGTGCAGTCCCCAAACCAGCAGCATCACCATTACCTGGAAACTTGTGAGAAATGTAACATTTTCTGGCCCCACCTGTGATTTCTACCGATTCAGAAACTGAGGGTGGGAGGTGAGGTAGGGCCCAGCCATCTGCGTTTAACAAGCCCAGGTGATTCCGATGTTCCGGAGGCAGCATCACTTTCCAGCTGCTACGAAGTTTCTCAGGCCTTTGCTCTATCAATGAGGCAGAAGGCAGCCCTAAGGGGTTCGTGGCTGGGACTAGGGCTCCCTTGGTCTAGTGCACCTGACATGTGATAGATACTCAATATGTGTATTTTGGATAAATGAGTAAATGGCACCCAGTGTCCCAAATCTCTGTTACTATGACAGGAGCAGAATGTCAGTAGGATGGCACCTTGGCTCAATTGGCCATGCCAGAATTCTCAGGAGTTCAGGCTGACCAGAAGCACCTTGAAGAGCAGAAGATGAAATTTTATGTCCACTTGAGTTTCAGGATGAACACAGACCATGAGAGGGGCTCACCATCCTTCTGATCTTTGGAGTTTTTTTAAAAATTATTTTTATTTATTTATTTATTTATTGTTATTATTATTATTATTTATTATTATACTTTAAGTTTTAGGGTACATGTGCACAATGTGCAGGTTAGTTACATATGTATACATGTGCCATGCTGGTGCGCTGCACCCACTAACTCATCATCTAGCATTAGGTATATCTCCCAATGCTATCCCTCCCCCATCCCCCCACCCCACAACAGTCCCCAGAGTGTGATGTTCCCCTTCCTGTGTTCATGTGTTCTCATTGTTCAATTCCCACCTATGAGTGAGAATATGCGGTGTTTGGTTTTTTGTTCTTGCGATAGTTTACTGAGAATGATGATTTCCAATTTCGTCCTTGTCCCTACAAGGATGTGTCCATGTGTTCTCATTGTTCAATTCCCACCTATGAGTGAGAATATGCGGTGTTTGGTTTTTTGTTCTTGCGATAGTTTACTGAGAATGATGATTTCCAATTTCATCCTTGTCCCTACAAAGGATGTGAACTCATCATTTTTATGGCTGCATAGTATTCCACGGTGTATATGTGCCACATTTTTTTAATCCAGTCTATCATTGTTGGACATTTGGGTTGGTTCCAAGTCTTTGCTATTGTGAATAATGCTGCAATAAACATACGTGTGCATGTGTCTTTATAGCAGCATGATTTATAGTCCTTTGGGTATATACCCAGTAATGGGATGGCTGGGTCAAATGGTATTTCTAGTTCTAGATCCCTGAGGAATCGCCACACTGACTTCCACAATGGTTGAATGATCTTTGGAGTTTTAAGCAGGAGGTGTCAAAAAGATTAAGTTACCATAGGGATAACTGGCTTTTCTAGTGACGTGCTGAGAAACCAAGTCTCTGTATAGAAAGCCCTGACTTGTAGCATTTGCTAAGTCCCTTGGTGTAAATACTTCCACCACGGCCCATGGATTTTCAAATCATGAGCCGATGGGAGCCCGCTGCAGCATACAACTGGCCCTGGAAGGCTTTGTTAGCAACTTCTTTAAAACTGAAAGACTACTTGTCTTTAAAGCATACAAGTTATATATATATATATATATGTGTGTGTGTGTGTGTGTTTATTTTATACATATATATATATATATATATATGAAAATCAAACAGCACAGAGGGCCTAAAATGAGAAATCTTCCCCCGGCACCCTGAGTCCCACCTCCAGAGGGAATCATCTTTTCTGGTTTTAGTTCTACTGAAGATCCCTTCCATAGCTACAAATGGTGCACTTAAAGCAGCACATATTGGTCTGTCATCCACAGGGGGCACCAATGCCATGGCTTGGAAGACCAGGAACCTAGCTCATCTCCAGCACTGCTCACTCCCCACCGCACTCCTCCATTCACCTGACTATTTTGATGATATTTTGCAATTCTTCTATTGGTTACTTATTTGCCTTTAAGTAATAATAGTCACTCATCTAGTGCTTATTTTTAGAACAGGGGCTGTTATAAGCACTTAAGACATTAATGATTGAATCCTCACAGTGACCTTCAGATGTAGGTACTATTTTCATTCTCATTTTATAGATGAGAAAACTGAAGCACAGAGAAGTTAAATAACTTGCCCAAGCTAGTAAAAGGCAGAGACAGGATTCAGACCCAGACAGTGTGGCTGCAGAGTCCATGTTTTTTTGTTTTGTTTTGTTTTGTTTTTGTTTTGTTTTTGAGATGGAGTTTCTCTCTGTTGCCCAGGCCGGAGGGCAGTGGCGCGATCTTGGCTCACTGCAAGCTCCGCCTCCCAGGTTCGTGCCATTCTCCTGCCTCAGCCTCCCGAGTAGCTGGGACTACAGGCACCTGCGACCGCGCCTGGCTAATTTTTTGTTTTTTTAGTAGAGACGGGGTTTCACCGTGTTAGCCAGGATGGTCTCGTGATCCGCCCGCCTCGGCCTCCCAAAGTGCTGAGATTACAGGCGTGAGCCACCGCGCCCGGCCCAGAGTCCATGTTTTTAACCTCTCAGAAGAAGGTTATGGAAAGTTACTTAGTGTTGGGGGGACAGTTGCAAGGGAAATGACAATATGAGTATAAATAGATAAGCAAACTGCAGCCTATTTGCTTTATTGCCCTTAGAAAAAACCAAGTCAGGTGAGGGATGATGTCTATACAAGCATATGTCTGCTCTTTCATGTAGACAGAGATGCCCACAAAGCTTATTGTTGGGCTAGAATGGCTCAGGACACTGTCCACCACAAGAAGTATGGCAGATGGGAGCTGCTAATGGTCTGTGGACAAAATAGCATTTGTATTTGCATATGAAGACCCCAGTGATTTAATGAAGATATACCTATGACGTGGGCTTTCCCCCCACCCATTTTTCTTTCATGGTATTTGTTGGATGGACCCCTTCAAACTGGAAGGTTTCAGTCCTTTCTCAGATTTGGAAAACTTTCTTTCATTATTTCTTTGATAACTTCTTCTCTTTTATTTTCTCTGTTGGAGTTTGGGCTTCTTAGGTTGATTCTCTGTCTCCATTTCTGTCTTCTTGGCTTATATTCTGGGAGATTGATTGACCTTTTTCTTCTAGCCCTTGTAGTAAATCTTTCATTTTAGCGATTATACTTTTAATTTCCAAGAAACTTTCTTCTTCTTTAATTGTTCCTATTCCACATCAACCTGCTTTTGGTTTATAGCCTCCATTCATATCTTCTTCGGTTGCTCTGAAGTTACAAATTAAAATTATCATAGAGTTCCTTGAATTAGCTTCATTTCCTTTGGGGCCAGTTGTTCTGGTTCTTATCTTGATTTGACTATTTCCTTTGGTTCTTTGAAATCAGCTCACACTCAGTACTCATTTGTTTAAGCTACTCTCATTGAGCCTGTACTCTGTCTCTGTGGGGTGCTTTGCCTGGGCTGGAAATATGAGGTTGACAAGCGCCCGTCCTCATGGGGCTTTCCATTTCTCAATAGACTCTATTCTGACAGATCAGATTTGCTGAGCATTGGACCACCCTGTACTTAACATTTTGGCTTCTTGTCTGCCAGACCCACTAGGCTGTGAGCAGGGGCTTGAGAACCATGACTGTGTCTTATTGATATATTTATCACAAGTAGGCCCTTGGTAAAAGTTTGATAACTCTTGGGTTAAATAGAACTGAACTGAGTTTTGTGATGGTTGATATATTTACACATGCACACACTCACAGATGATGTAGAGGTGTGCCGGGGGCTGCTGGAAGGATAAGAAAGACCATGACCAAACGGCATTCTTCTGAAAGGTTTTGGAGGAGCATGAGAATGTGAGTTACCCCAAGCTCACTGCCCATCCTGCTCACACTCCATTCACATTTAAATAAACACCAAGGCCACCATTGCCTCTTCTCTCTCCAACAGCTACAAACCCTCACTTTTGCCTGGAGTTTCTTAGCATCCAACCTTCTCCCTTGTAAAGTGTGAAAACCTGTAATTCTGTACTCAATCATTTTTTAAAAGGAGGGTGGGCAGGAGTGTACTTATCTGCCCTTCCGGAGATGGAGGCCTCCTTCCAGAGGGCATGGCCCATGGGTCTACAACTTCAATACTTTCATTAGTTCATGCATTCATTCGTTCAGCCAGCCATCAATCTTTTTTTTCTACAGATGTGGTCTTGCTATGAGTGGCTCCAAGTATAATCATACCTCACTGCAGCCTCGAACTACTAACCTCAAGAAATCTTCCTGCAGGCCGGGCGTGGTGGCTCATACCTGTAATCCCAGCACTTTGGGAGGCCAAGGCAGGTGGGTCCCCTGAGGTCAGGAGTTGGAGACCAGCCTGGCCAATATGATGAAACCCCATCTCTACTAAAAATACAAAAAATAGCCGAGCATGGTGGCACGGGCCTGTAATCCCAGCTACTCAGGAGGCTGAGGCAGGAGAATTGCTTGAACCCAGGAGGCAGGGGTTGCAGTGAGCTGAGATCGCACCACTGCACTCCAGCCTGGGCAACAAGAGCAAAATTCCGTCTTAAAAAAAAAAGAAAAAGAAAAAGAAAAAGAAATCCTCCTGCCTCAGCCTCCCAAGTAGCTGCAACTAGAGGCATGTGCCACCATGCCCAGTTCATCAATCCTTTATTAAGGAAATCCTGTGTGTTAGACGTAGTGCTAGGCTCTGGAAACAAAAAATTAGATATGGTGCCCACCTTCCAGGAGTTTACAGTCTGGGAGACTGTAAGTAAATTATTTGACATTTCTCCAGGAATAAGCAGCAGGGTCTTACCTTCCTTAACCATGTGCTTCCATTGAATTTGATCTCTGTTTGTGGGCCTGTCCCCACATTAGACTACTGCCTCCTTAGGTTGGCACTCAGTAGATATTTGTTGGTTGTATGAATGAGTGAATGAATGAATAAGTAGCATTGCCTAGCATGGTGGGACATGCCCCGCTTCTGCACTCTGAAGGGACCCATTGCCAACTCCCTAAGTATCACAGAATCCCAATAAGAGTTTGAGACCCATGGCAAGCAAAGAGAGACCCGAATTCTCTGCAGCCTTCCTACTTCTTCCATAGACTCACCCTAGGGAGGAGTTGACTCCAGACCCGGGGACCCCACTGGGGAGGGCTGGACTGGTTAAAATTGGGATCAAAGTGAGCATGAGAAATGCAAAGTCTCATTAACAACCAGCCCAGACAGCCAGCCCAAGAGGGTGAGGGCAGCAGGAGTAAAGGGGTGGAGGGTGGGTGAAGGGAGGCTCCAGGGTGCAAGGAGTTGCTGCTGATCCATTATAGGGTTAAAGAAAGAAAAACACATGTTAACATTGGGGCCAGGGCCTAAAGTCTGTGCTGCCTGTTCTGAGGCTGAGGCTATGGCAAGCACAGAGGAGGCTTGGGCTTCATCAGGGCGTTCTGCCAGGCACGGTCCCGGAGCCAAACTGATCTGTGAAGTCACTGGCCAATGATGGGTGACACTGGAATTCCCCCTTTCTCCTGTCAGAAGCAACTGGCCTGTCAGAGCATAGGTTCTCCCATTTGCTTCCCAGGAGGTGGGGAGGCCCTTCTCTGAGAAGTCATCAGTCCTCTCTTAGCCATGCTCTTGTGCAGCAGGGCTGGGCTGGAGGTGTAGATGCTGAGTTCTGGGAAGTCGTGGCCGGGAATCCAGAAGCGGAACTGGCTTCCTCCAGGATGCATGAAGAAGCTATCGGAACCTCCTCCGACTGGCTCCCTGTGGCAGCTCTTGGCAAGAACACAGTCAGGCAGGAACAATGGGCGGATGGGCCCAGACATGGGGGATCCGAGGCTAGGGCTGTGGCCCTGTGAACATCCAGGGACCATACAAAATACATAGGTCCTATTTGTAGGGCCATGGCTGCTGGGCCTGAGCGCAGGGGGGCCTGAACGCAGGGTGGCTTGGGCATGCCCAGATGGATGAGTTGCCTGGGAAGGAGCTTGAGGAAATAAATGGTCTGGAGGGTGGATGCCAGGACCCGGAGGCCCAGCTGCCTCACAGCCAGCCCAGGAGCACCTCCTGCTCCTGGTTCCAGAGCCCCCAACCTCACCCAAAGCTTACAACATTGTGCTTATGGGGTGGCGGGGGCGGGGGAGGGGGTCTTGGGAGGCCCCAGGAAGGTGGGTAGGTAGGCTTCCTGTGGCAAACCTCTTGGGGGCTCAGGGTCTCTGGCTGATTAGGCGGGAAGACCTTCCTCGGGCTCATATTGGGGTGGGGGCAGGACTGACCATAAAGGGGACACAGGGATATGGCTCCCAGAGACCTTGTGGTGAAGACAGAATTGTCTTCAAGAAAAGAGCAGCAACTTGAGAAGCTCTTTCCATTTATGTGCTTTTCATAAGCCCTTGAGAAATCGGTGTTTCCCCTTCCCCAGTGCCACCTCCCCTTCCCCAGCAATTCCAAGAAGCCGTGACCGGGGGGTGACTGTGGTGGTGTCCAGCCCCGACCTGAGCCCCAGGGGCAGGAGCAGCAGTGAAGGCCCAGTTCATCCTCGGACAAACGGGGAGAAAGGCAGCTCCTGAGACCTTTCTGGAGGTGGCCCAGGCCAGCCCACCAAGGCTGGGTGCCTCCCTGCTGGTGTGGGGAAGCCCTCCTGGGTATTTCTCTGCATCCCTTTGTCTTGAACACCTCCAAGGGCGGGAGGGGGCAGAGCCCTACTTCCCCCACGCTCACAGAAACTATAAATGAACAAGGTCTTGTCTCTATGCCACTCCTTGGCTCAAACCTGTGCTGAGTCTGCATGAGTGACTGTGAATGTGTATGTGTGCCATGTGTGTGAGCCAGTGTGGGGTTGTGTGTGAATGTGTGTGTGGGTGTGTGCGTGTGTGTGTGTATGTGTGAATGTATGCATGAGAACATATGTGAGCATGGGGTGTGTGTGTGTGAACACACGTGCTGGTGTCTGCAGTATGTGCATGACCTATGTGCGGCAGTGTGTGGAGGTGAGCCTGTGTGTGGTGAGTGTGGGTAGGTGTGAATGGGTGTATATACAGTGAGTGTGAGTGTGTGAGGAGATTCCCCAACCTGCTGGGCCCTGTGTTCCCCACAAAGTCCCCTTGCAGTTGATCCTGGTGCTCTCCTGGAGCCACGGTTGGTGGGATGCAGAGACTGTTTCCGGAAGGTCCAGCATTCTGGAGCTCTTTCTCCAATTGCCTAGAGAGTGGATCCTTTGTGGCTAAAGGGACTGATGGCTTCCGGCCTTTGCCTTCTGCCTCTGACTTCCATCCCAAGAATGTGCGTGTGCCTGCAGGTGCACACAAGTGCACTGTGTAGTCACTGCCTGTGGGACCCTGTGGGACTCTGTGAAGCTGACCCCAGGCCCCAAGCCGCCAGTGTGAACAGAGCATACGTCTCACTGTTGTTGGTGAGGGCAGTTTCAGCCTCTCCAGATATAGGAGACATTCGCCTTTGAGCTTTGTCAGGACTTTGAGTCCCTGACAGGCTCCAACAGGGACACTGGCCTGCAGGCAGGACGTTGCCTTGAAGCTGAGAGCACAGTGTGGCCCCTTAGGAATCAAGCCCACTGCCTGGGCCACTGAGGCCTCTGCTTCCTCTCAGCCCCACACAGGGTATGTTTGGGCTCTGGAGGTGGGAAGGGCTGGCCCACAGAGTCCCTAGCAGCTTCTTCCTCCTCTTTGGTTCTCCAGCTAGAGACTCCTGTACACCAGAGTCTTCATGGGCCTAGGTGGGTCCAGAAGCCAGGCCTTTGGTGGAAGAACAGAATCCCTTTTGGATTCAGGCAGGGTGAGAGGATCCTGCTGGGGATGAATGTGTCTTGGTAACAAAGCAGACTTTCAGCTGCTTAGGTTCCTGGGGCCTCAGCTCAACCCTCTGACCACACAGGGCAGAGGTGAAGGGCTCAGCCTCTGGGATCACACAGATCAGAGTTCAATTCTGGGCTCTACCACTCCCTGTGCTGTGGGAAATTGGATGAGTTACTTCATTGCTCTGAAGCTCAGTTTCTGCAGCTGTACAATGGGTATGATACTACTTACATCGTAGAAGTGTTATGAGGAGTAGTCCATCTTTAGAAGCATCTAACATTTGGGACATGGAGGAGACCAGTGACTTGTGAGAACTGTGGCAGGAGGGACCTGGGTGGGCAGACACAGATGCCTCTGTGTCTGGGAGGCTGTAGACACCAGGCAACTGCATTCCCCTTATTCTCTCCATGCCTCACCCCAAATACACTGGTCAGGGGTGTCCAAGCTAGAAGGACCTTGGACACTACCCCCGGCTGAAAGAAGTGTCAACCTGCTCCTCAGGCACAGGGCTGGGACTAGAGTCCTGCCGTCCAGACTTGGTGGGACTTTACAGTGATTAGGAGAACCACTTCTGGAGTCCCTCTCAGATCCAGATTCAAATCCCAGCTCTACCACATCACTTCACCTCTCTAATCTTGTTCTCTCGTCCGTCAGATGAAAATACTACTAGGCCACATCTTGGAGTCATGCTGGTCAATATGGTAGCCACTGGCTATGTGTAGCTATTTATTTATTTATTTATTTATTTTTGAGATGGACTTTCACTCTTGTCACCCAGGCTGGAGTGCAATGGCGTGATCTCTGCTCACTGCAACCTCTGCCTCCCAGGTTCAAGTGATTCTCCTGCCTTAGCCTCCCAAGTAGCTGGAATTACAGGTGCCTGCCACCACACCCGGCTAATTTTTGTATTTTTAGTAGAGACAGGGTTTCACTATGTTGGCCTGGCTGGTCTTGAACTCCTGGCCTCAGGTGATCCACCTGCCTTGGCCTCCCAAAGTGCTGGGATTACAGGTGTGAGTCACTGTGCCCAGCCATGTGTAGCCATTTAAATTCAAGTAAAATTAAATAAAATTTAACATGCATTTTCTTAGTTGCACTAGCCACATTTCAGATGCTCAATAGCCACAGGTAGCTAGTGGTCACTGTTTTCAGGCAGTGCAGACAGAATATTTCCATTATTTCAGAGAATTCTATGGGCAAGTGTGGCCTCCAAAGGTTGGTTGTGAAGACAAAATGAGACAATGCAGATCAAGTGCTAGGCTCAGAGCCTGGCTCTACATCAGTGATGCCGGCTGTCACTGTTGTTATCAGAGCCTTCTAAGGGGTTCTCCTTCCAGCTAAAGGTGGCCTAGAGATCAGAGCATTCCTTGGGACCATGGCCATGCACGGTGACACATCCCCTTGAGCCACACTCTGAGACTGGGGACACATTGTTCGACCTCTGTGCTTTCCTGATGAGACTGAGGCCCAGAGAAGCAAAGTAACTTTCCCAAAGTCATCTGAAAGAACAGAGGCCAGAATCCTGTTTGCTGACCCTCGCCCAGTGCCCCATTCTACTTTCCCTGTTCACAGGCACTCAGAGCAGGCACACCACGATTATCTTCTTAAAAAAAATAGATTTTTAGGACCTACCTGAGATAGAGTGAGCCAGAACTCACAGGGTATGGCCTGAGGTATGGTTTGTTTGTTTGTTTGTTTGTTTGTTTGTTTTTTGAGACAGGGTCTTCCTCTGTCATCACCCAGGCCCGAGTGCAATGGCGCAAACACAGCTCACTGCAGCCTCGACATCCAGGCTTAAGCAATCCTCCTGCCTCAGCCTCCCGTGTAGCTAAGACCACAGGCACCACCATGCCTGGTGGCTGATTTTTTAACTTTTTGTAGAAATGAGGTCTCACTTTGTTGCCTAGACTGGTCAAAAACTCCTGGCCTTAAGCAATCTTCCTGCCTTGGCCTCCCAAAGTGTTGGGATTACAGGGTGTGAGCCCTTGCTCCCGGCCTGATATCTGCTTTTTTACTAAGAGCTCTAGATGCTTTTGATCATTAGCCAGGTTGGGGCACAGTTTGAAGGGAACTGTGTCTCCTCCATCCTCTGCTCAGGACTTTGTAGGTCTCAACAGGGAGTGCTCGTCACATGCACCAGCCGCCTAGGGTCTGACTGGTTCAGGTTCTTGGTGGAGCAAACGAGGAAGCCATGGCCTTCCCCTATCCCCCAGGCTCCCCTGAGCTGGCTTCCCCAGCATGCCCTTCTTCCACCTCACCACACACATCAGAAATCCTCAGGAAAGGCAAGTGAGCGGGGACCTTGGCCTACTCCCACTGGATGTGCCACAGCAGCTGCTTTCAACAAGGTGGGTCGGGCTGGGGCTGAGGAGGCCAACAGAGTGCCCAGGCCTCAGCCCAAGGCTCCCTCAGGGACTGTTTTTGGCCCAAACACCTTGACTTTGCCTCAAGCAGGTTAGCCTTCGACAAGGGAGCCAAGTCCCTCCAGCTCTGGCTGCCAGGGAGGCCCCACAAGATGGCCGCCGGCCAGGCCTTAGTGTTATTTGGCTCGGGAGGACTGCTCTCTCCGACAGGAAGTCTTTAATCTCCACAACAGTGGTAATCACGAGTTCGGAGAGTCCAGCTTTCCATTCCAGGGAGCTCAGTGGGATTGGCAATCCTGCCCTTTGCAATGAGAGCCCTTTCATCTGAACACACCAAGTGTTTTGTCATCCTGGGGCCTGGGAACAGAGACAACAGGCTGGTGTCTGCCTCCTGTGTACATGCAGCTTAGCTGTCGCTCTGAAAACTGGTTAACGAAGCAGGGCTGTAGGGGGCTTAGGCTGGGGGTGGACAACTGAATGGCCCGTAATCACTGGCGGTGGCCCTTTCTGAAAGCTTCCCTGCTCTTGACGACTGGCTGCAGACCCTGCCCCATTCCTGTCAGGAAACTCACAAGAGTGGGGATTCCCTTGGGATGCGGTGGGAATTGTGTCTCCTCCATCCTCTGCTCAGGGCTTGGTAGGTCCCAACAGAAGGCTTATCACAAGCACCAGCCTGTCTCCCTTACCCCAGAGAGCAGAGCCCAAGGAGACTCTCTTCTGGCTCATGCTGAGAGGGGGTGCAGGCTCAGAGGACTGTGGGTTCTGACACCCACTCCTCAGAGAAACTGACATGGAAGATATTTACAGGGGGTTAAACTACCCCTCAGGGTGCATTCACTCCTTCACTCACTCATTCATTTAGCACATCTCTACTGAAGGCTTCTTATGTTTCTAGTCCCTGGGAAACTGTGGTGAACAAGAAACACAGTCCTTGTCCTTGTGGAGCTTACATTCTTACAGGGGAGTGGAGAGATAGAAAATAAATAAAAAAATAAACAGGGGTATATATATATATATATATATATATATATATATATATATATATACACATACATACACAAACACATATAATGCAATGTGAGTTAGAGAAAAGGGCTATGAAAAAAATTAAAGCAGAGTATAGACAGGAAGAGGAAGAGCTATTGATTTCATTTTTTATTTTTTTCTCTAGAGACAGGGTCTCACTATGTTGCCCAGGCTGGTGTCGAACTCCTGACCTCAAGCCTCCCAAAGTGCTGGGATTACAGGTGTGAGTGAGCCACGGCACTCAGCCAAATGGCTTTTGTTGATTTCCCCAGCCAATGGCACTTGGGGAAACTGGCTGAAGAAAGACTCATCCCACCTTTTCAAGGATGCATTAAAACATCCTTGACTCACCATTGTCCCCACCACTTGCAGCATCTTAGAAACCAAAAGTTTTGCCCGGGTGCAGTGGCTCACGCCTGTAATCCCAGCACTTTGGGAGGCCAAGGCAGGTGGATTACTTGAGGTCAGGAGTTTGAGACCAGCCTGGCCAACATGGCAAAACCCCATTTCTCCTAAAAATACAAAAACTTGCCAGGCATGGTGGCAGGTGCCTGTAATCCCAGCTACTTGGGAGGCTGAGACACGAGAATTGCTTGAACCCGGTGGGTGGAAGTTGCAGTGAGCTGAGATTGTGCCACCACACTCCAGCCTGGGCAACAGAGCGAGACTCCATCTCAAAAAAAAAAAAAAAAAAATCAAAAGTTAAAATACCCATTGGAGACCCTTTTTCATCTCCCCATAATTCCCTCTGTATATTCCTTTCCTGGGAGTCGAATATTCCCATATCTAAATTTACCAACCACAAACCACAGAACTTTTGTGATGTGATAGAAATTAGCAGGTAGATGTTATGTCTGTTTCCTTTAAGGCCACTGCAGTCAAATCTGGGGCTGACAGGAAGCTCTGCTCACATGGCCATGGGCTTGATGGCAGGAAAGTGTCCCCTTTAGGCCACTGAAAAGTGTTCCCTTTAGGTTCTTTTAACTTCCACTCTCCTGACCTTGGAATCAGCCTGCCAGGCTGTCTCCTTTCAGAAGGACGGAGGTGCACAGGTGTAATGTGCGAGATAGGAAGATCTGCCCTGAGGTCACTCTGCTGGTTCTGATAACAACGGGTACCATAGACTGATAGGTGTTCAGTCAGGGCACACAAGGCCGTCCTTCGCCAGGAAGGCCGTGGGTGTGGTGGACTTAGAGGCAGAGATGCGGCTGGAGTCCCGGCTGCCCTGTAGCCTGGAGGCAGCGTAGGCTTGAGAGGCAGGCAGACCCACGCACGGTGCTGCCACTTCCCAGGCTGCCCAGCCCCTCTGAGCCTCAGTTTCCTCATCAGTAAAGTGAGGACCTTTAACTTCCTTAAAGAAACTGTGAGGCTGGGTGCAGTGGCTCACGCCTGTAATCCCAGCACTTTGGGAAGCTGAGGCAGGTGGAGCACCGGAGGTCAGGAGTTCAAAACCAGCCTGGCCAACATGGTGAAACCCCGTCTCTACTAAAAATACAAAAAATTAGCTGGGCATGGTGGTGGGTGCCTGTAATCCCAGCTACTCAGGAGGCTGAGGCAGGAGAATTGCTTGAACCTGGGAGGCGGAGGTTGCAGTGAGCCAAGAGTGTGCCACTGCACTCCAGCCTGGGCAACAAGAGGGAAACTCTGTCTCAAAAACAAACAAACAGAAAAAACTGTATGCAAGTCCCTGGCATCTGTTAGATACTTGATAAATGACAGTGGCTACAGCTCCTTGGACAAATAGCTTAATCACTCTCAGCTTTGATTCTTCATCTGTGAAAGTGAGATATCAATATATCTGTGTCCCGGGGTCATTATGAGGATGAGATAATATGTGTGAAACCGCCCGTCACAGGGCCTGGCACTCAACATATGTTTAATCTACATTGGGAGCTCGTCCCGGAGTGAGTCAGTGGCTGGGTAGGTGTGGAGAGGGGCATTCATAATGGCTGAGCAGCCCTTCACATTGCAGGGGATGGAGTCCTTTTTCCTGTGCCCAGCTTTGTCAATGAAGAGAAAGTAAGAGAGGGTAAGTGGGGGGAAAGGATTTTCTGGATTTTTTGCTGCTTTAAATTCTGGCTTCAAAATTAGCCAGGCATAGTGGCACGTGCCTGTAGTCCCAGCTATTTGGGAGGCTGAGGTGGGAGGATTGCTTGAGCCCAGGAGGTTGAGGCTGCAGTGAGCCAGGATTGCACCACTGCATTCCAGCCTGGGTGACAGAGTGAAACTCTGTCTCTTAAAAAAAAAAAAAAAAAAAAAATTCTGGCTCCAGAATTGGAATTTACAACACTGGTAATATACCATCCAAACAGATTACATACTCAAAAGAGGGTGGGGCGGCACGAGACCAGGGTTGCTCAAAAGTGCAGTCTCACAGCCTCCACTTCCCCTGTGGGGAGCTGGCTCTGTGTCCTGGGCTCACCATCAGCCCTTCCATCTGCTGACTCATGCTCTCACAGCCCCAGCCCAGGACCGCTGAGCATGTTCAGGGAGGCCTATTAATAGCCTCTTCCTGGGACGCTCATGGTGTCTTTCTCTAAGGCAGTTTGACTACAAGCCTGCTGCCCTACCCCTCATTCTCACTCTCACGCCACCAGCACTCTCCTCACAGACCCTGAAGTAACAGTGCTGGACACTGACTGGTGCCCAGAGAGTGCTGGAGTTTCCATTCTGTCACTTCTGGATGTGTCAGCATTTCAAAATGGTGGCCTGTCAGTTTTGGTCAGAGAGCAAGGCTGAGGTGAAGCTCTTCTTACAGTGGTCCAGCGGGGTCCGCAGGATCTCCACCCAGTTGCCAGATGAGAAGCTGTTGGTAGTGGTGAGGAGGAGGATGCAGAACCCTCAAGGCGCCCAGCCTGCAGGGCAGGAAGCACAGCACCAGCCAGTAGCCGAGTTTGCACGGGAACAGGCTTTGTAGGCCCTGGGCATTGCTCACTCCAGGGCATAAGCAGAACCCGGCCTGGCAAACAGGCCAAGGGCTGCAGAGAGCATCTGGGCTGTGTTGTGAGGAGGGCCGTGGCTGCCTCTCTGGGCATAGCCTTCACAGAATGACCTGCTTTGGGAGTGTCTTCCGCTCCCACAGTGACTGGGTGAAGTAGAATCCATGGCAGGACAAGTTGAGGCCCCCTGGGCAGGCTTGAAGAGGTAAGAAGCAGCCCTGGTTCTCAGTCACTGTACTGGGAGACTCCCCTGCATGCTCTCCATGGGGACATCTTGTATGTGTGGATGAATAAGACAGCCCCATATAGTATAAAGAACATGCTTTTTCATCTCAGCTTTATCACTCATAAGCTGTGTGATCTTGGTCAAGATACACTCCTCTCTGAGCATTAGTTTCCTCAGCTATAAAAAGATAGTGTAGAGCCTGGGCAACATAATGAGACCCCATCTCTACAAAAAAAATTAAAAATTAGCTCAGCATGGCGTCATATGCCTATAGTTCCAGCCACTTGGGAGGCTGAGGAAGGACGATCGCTTGAGTCCAGGAGTCCGAGGCTGCTGTGAGCCATGATGGTGACACTGCACTCCAGCCTGGGGAACAGAGCAAGACCCTATCTCAAAAAGAAAAAAAAAAAAAAAGAAAAAGTTTTGGACAGGGTGGGGTGAGTTCCGAGGTCTCTGCTCTTCCACACCTGAGCTTCCTAGTTAATATCTTGTGCCTGTTCAGAAAATGTTGATCTGTTCAGGAAATGACAGAGGAGCAGCTAAAGAAGTCAGTAGACAAACAGGTTGCGGGAAGAGAAGGGGGAAGAGATTGAATTGAGGACTTTCTCCCTCTCTCCCTTAGAAGTCCTCCCCAATCCCTTTCGTTAGAAAAGCTTCCCTGCAGGTTCCCCACACCGTCTCCCTGGCAGGGCCACTGTTGCACAGAAAAACAGAGGCCATGGTGTGGCTTTTCTGGGCCTGAGACATGCCTTCCACCATTAGACACTGTCAGCTGAATCTCTGCTTCCTCTTCCATCCCCCCTCTCACCCAGTTCTTCTCTTTTCCCCTAACTCCTTTATGCTCAAGTCAGGATTCAGAAGGCTCCCAGGGCATGGGAGGGCTTTGCGAAAAAGGGAGAGTGAGGTGAAGGGGGTCTTGGTGATAAACAGAAAGCTTGGCCTACAGGGAGTCGGGTGCTGGGAAGAGAGGAAGAGAGAGGGAGAGAAAGCTTAGAGCTAGATGAGACCTTGACAGAGGAGGTAACCTCAGTGCTCCCCGTGACAACCATCCAGACCTGCGTGGCCCGAAATAAGTTGTCTGCCTTCATCTCTCCATCTGTAAAGTGGGCAAACCTGCCCTTCTGCCTCAGGAGGTTGGTTGGAAGCATCCACAGCCCCAAACAGCCAAACAGCCTGCTGATTTTCCAGCCTTGGCAGAGAGGTCGGAGAGAGGGAGGTGCAGCTGCCTCTGGCAGGGGGTGACCCTGGGGACCCAGCGGACCATGGGTTAATGGTTTGACTGCTGGGGTGCGAATAGCTCAGCCCCTAGCTCCAGGATACCTCAACACCAGTCAAGGGGAATCCAGGCTAAGATGCCCCTCCCCTGCCCCCTGAACTTGGCATGCAGGGAAGATGAAAGTGGCTGAAATGATTTGCTGGCTGGCGCTTCAGCCTACACGTCTGTCTGGCAATTGGTTGTGCCTGCGGAAGCCACCTTGCACACGGCCCCTGGATCCAGATTTCTACAAAGCAGTGCCAGGAAAACATGGGAGGGAGGTGGAGCATCTGGCTGATGAGCTCGCTTCAAGCCAAGAGGGAGTTTTGGTTCAGAATGGATTGTCTTTTGCTCTGTTGCTCTGGCATTAGTTTCCTAGCTGTGAAAGGGAGGCTTTTGGCCAAAAAGTAAGTGTTCATAGAACACATTGGTCGGTGAGGACTAACCCAACATAAAGAGAGAGGGTAGTTTTCCTTTTCATCACAATAAATGTGTAGTCAGCACCAACAGGAGAAGGGGCAATGTGCTAAGAGCATAGATTCTGGAATCAAACTGGTTGGGTGCAAATCACCAGCCCTGTGACTGGTTGTGAGTCATGGCCTCAACTTCCTCATCAGTAAAGTGGGGATAAGATAGATGGGGCTTTACACCGAGGTGTTTTTAATTGTTCTATAAAGCAGTTAGAACTGTACCTGGTACATGGTAAATGCTCAGTAACTATTGCTTATTGTTATCATTTTATTATAGAAATTTAGTGTCATCATCTCTATTGTTAAGGAATTTTATAATCTAGTCGGGCTACTCTATGTATGGGGTAGCCCTGCTCTGTCTATGGAGGAGTCAAAAATAATAATAATACTAATGATCTAGTTAAGGAGATAAACAAACGTACAAAAAGTGTAGCTAAAAAACATTTTTTTAAAAGATGAAGTCTCACTCTGTCGCCCAGACTGGAGTGCAGAGGCATGATCTCGGCACACTGCAACCTCCACCACCTCCTGGGTTCGAGCAATTCTCCTGCCTCAGCCTCCCCAGTAGCTGGGACTACAGGCATGTGTCTCCACGCCCGAGTAATTTTTGTATTTTTAGTAGAGACAGGGTTTCATCATGTTGGCCGGGCTGGTCTTGAACTCCTGACCTCAAGTGATCCGCCCGCTTCGGCCTCCCAAGGTGATAGGATTACAAGCGTGAGCCACCGAGCCTGGCTGATAACAAATATTTAAATAATAAACATTTAAATAGCTCCATATACAGCACACAGTGGGGTGTGTGATTGACGGCCAAATGGGTGGGACAGCATCCTGAAAGGCCAGGTGGTCTCGCCATGCCAACAATCCATTTCTAGGTTGCCAGGCCTCCCTTCTCTCAACCATATATAAAGGGTACCCCAAAGGGGACTCCGCAATCCATCACCTCCTGACAGGTGTTTGGAGCAGGGGCGAACACTTGACCCGGTGTCTGGCCAGCCATAGGCTACACAGGGACCCAGCCTGGTCTAGGGTAAAAGGATTAGTGGTTCCCACTGGACTGTGTCCAGGAAGTCTGATTTAGACCCAGGGAGAAAAATGAAACAATCAGCTGAGGGAACAGGAGCTGGAAGGACATCCTGAGGTAGAAGTGGGGGTAACAGCCGTCACAAGGGAACAGCAACGGTGAAGAGGCTGCCTGTCCGCAGAGCTGGGACAAGAGCAGGCACACAGAGAGAGCATAGAACAGCATGTGGGGGCCACCAGAAGGCCTTTGATGAAAGGCAGGAAGGAGCCATTGGGGAGCTGCCTTTGTTCCCACTGGCCTTCTGAAGGAACTCAGTGAGTTTTTGATCCCAGTGACCAAAGAAGCTGGACAGCTATGCAGAGAAGGCAGGGGGCATGGAGGGCCGCAGGAGTTGTTGGGGGCTGCAGGGGGCATGGAGGGCAGTAGCAGCCTACCGGGCCTGCACCAGGAACAGGGAGAGGCTCCTGTCTGGAAAGCCAGGGGGATGCCAAACAGGCAGAGGGGCTGAAGGAAGGAGCAGAAGAGAACGATCACGCTATGGAAAAGCATGAAGAGGACCTGGGGCAAGGTGAGTAGACTGATTTGGTTGGAGCCAAGTGTTGGAAGATCAGAATTTGGAAATATTCAGAAAAATACATTGTGAGGATGCTTTCACTTGCCAGTAACAGGAAACCCAAACAAACCTGGGTCAAACTCTAACAGGAATGGACTGACTCATGTTTTGGAAAAGTCAGGAGGTGTGGCGGGCTTCAGTCAAGGCCAATCCAGAGTTCAAAGCCACACCAAGGACCTTGCATTTGTGTCTTTCCTCTCTTCTTCCGAAGGCTTCGTCCTGACTCCACCTCCCTGGCTTGAAGCCAATGTGCCAAATGACAAATTTGCCAAAAACATGATTTAAGGAATATGCTTTTTTAAAACAGTCAATAAACATATATATATATATATATATATATATTTTTTTTTTTTTTTTTTTTTTGAGATGGAGTCTTGCTCTGTTACCCAGGCTGGAGTGTAGTGGTACTAACTCGGCTCACTGCAACCTCCACCTCCTGGGTTCTAGTGATTCTCCTGCCTCAGCCTCCCAAGTAGCTGGGATTACAGGCACCCACCACCACACCTGGCTAATTTTTTTTGTATTTTTGGTAGAGAAGAGGTTTCACCATGTTGGCCAGGCTGCTCTCGAACTCGTGACCTCAAGTGATCCACCCGCCTCGGCCTTCCAAAGTGCTGGGATTACATGCGTGAGCCACTGCACCCAGCCTGAATATGCTTATATTTTCAAATTGATTCAGAAATTGGCTTTCAATGAATTGGCTTTCAGAAAATTGTTTTTAGGCCAATTGCCCTGTTTGCAGCTATTCTTGAGAACCACGATGGTTGGCAGCAGCTCCTTGGACTGTAAGCTTCTCCACTCATGTCCAGGAGAAGAAAGAGCCTCTATGCCCAGCCTCACCAGCACAAGTCCTGAGGTTTGCTCTGGTGGGTCAGCAGGGCTCACAAGTGGTCCCCCGAGCCAATGACTGTGGCCTGGAGAACATGCTGGCTGGCTTGGATCTAGCTCAGTGTCTTTTCTTCAGCCAGTAGCTAGGGCCAGGGTGATGGGGCTATGTTGGTGGGCTTAAGCCATTTGAGCCCCACTCCTAAGGCAGGGGGTGGGTAAAATCATACCCTGGGCATGTGGCTGGGGAACTCCCATTAGGAAAGGCCACGCAGGCCACAGATATGGAGAACCTAAGTAACAATGCCAGTGACAGTTGAAGACATTCCTGAATAACCAGCCAAAGTGTTTGGACTTTGTTCTACAGGCAGCCAGGTGACATTGGAAGGTTTTTAGATCTGGGAAGAAAGTTCTTCCTGGTGGTGTTTTAGGAAGATTAGTCTGACCATAGATTGGATGAAAGTAGAAAAAAGGCTGGCAAACCAGTGGGGTGATTAGAGAACCCAGGGGAGAGGCAATGAGGACTGAAACTAAGGAACTGGAATGAGAAACCAAAGAAAGGGAGGACAATAAAGTATTTTGAAAGAAGAAGTAGGTCGGGCACTGTAGCTCATGCCTGTAATCCCAGCACTTTGGGAGGCTGAGGCAGGAGGATCACCTGAGGTCAGGAGTTCAAGACCAGCCTAGCCAACATGGCGAAACCCCCTCTCTACTAAAAATACAAAAATTAGCTGAGCCTGGTGGCATGCGCCTGTAATCCCAGCTACTCGGGAGGCTAAGGCAGGAGAATCGAACCTGGGAGGCAGAGGTTGCAGTAAGCCAAGATGGTGCCATTGCATTCCAGCCTGGGCAGCAAAAGTGAAACTGTTTCTGTCTCAGAAAAAAAAAAAAAAAGCAAGCAAGAAAGAAAGAAGTACTAGGAGTTAGTGTCTTATTGGACATCAGGGAAGTGGGTGGACAGTGACAGAGGGAGTCTGACAGAGGGAGTCAAAAATGGCTCCAAGGTCTCTGACCTGGGTGAAATCATGGAACTTCTGCCTGTACCATTAATAACTCCTTTCTCTGAGAGCTGTCTCCTCACTCACAGGGAAGGTCCTCTGTCCTGTTCGTACTGGGTCCCCATTGTTTTTGCAGCCTGGCCCTCCCTCCCTTTCTGGGAATGGACCCTTCCCTCCTGGGAAGCATCCATTGCTCCCTCATCTCTCCACGGCTGTTGTGGAGGTCACTGTGTAAATGCACAGCCTTTGTCTAGGGACGCCGGACCCAAGATGGGTCAATCGGAACTCTTCCTCAGCTTGGGACTAAAGCAAAGAAAGATCTCTCTCTCTCTCTCTCTCTCTCTCTCTGTCTCTCTCAATCTCTCTCGGAGGCTGAAGATGTGATTGGGCCAGCTGGTGACCTGTTGCTGGCCTCATGCTTCCACATGAAGATGCCAGGCTGCAAAACGGAGAAGAAGGAAGCCCATGCAGAGATGGCTTCTGAGTGAGAGCTTAGGAGCAGCTGCCCGGGTGCCCGTAGGCGGTCAGATTTCTAGATGCACTTCCTGTTCTTGGGTTCCGCAAGACACCCTCTGGCTCTTTTGCATACATTTTAAGCAACTACTTCTGAAGTTGGGAAATCAGGAGTAGCCGCTGACTCTAAAGAGAAACTATATCAATTTGGAATGTATTTGCATTATCAGTGAGTTTACTGGAAGTATTAAAGCTGGACCATCACTTGGAGATGTTGTAAGGAAATGTGAACATTTGGCGAACAGACCTTTAAATAAAGAAGGAAGCCATGGGAGTGGCTGAGATCTCCCTGAGAGAAAGTGGAGAGATGTTCAGAGGTAACTTCGTTTAGAAACTTTTATTTAAAAATCACATTTAGAAACTAGAAGGTGTGGGGGGACCCAGTAAAGGAGACAGAAAGGGATTTACCAGAGAGTTGCGGGAGCTACGATTGTGGTGTCAAAGAACCAAAGGGAGGAGCAAATGCAAGATCTCAACCAATAAGGAAGTGTAAGCGACGAAGGGCAGGCCTTGGGGTGGGTCGACTCAGCAGCTCCACCATTTTACTGAGAGCCCAGGTGCTTTCTACCTCTCTGCTCTGCTGTGCTTGGCGTTGGCTTCACCTGAGGGTTGAAGGTTCTTTCCTTGGATGAGAGATAACTGTGAGTAACTGGCACAGTGGAAGGGAGAGAAAGGACACTTTCCCAGCCATGGAATCTGAGCTTCTGTCTTCAGTCTGATTGGGCTATTTTAGATCCTGTGCTCACCCTAGCCCAAAAAGATTCCCCGGAGAAATGCCATTTACTAATACCCTTCGCCTATCAGGAACCACCCCTGTGGACCCAGGAACAGGGTCTGTGTCCCTTGAAGCACGTGACAGCAGAGGACGGGAGGCTCCACCTGAACATGACCAGGGGTCTCCTGGGGAGGAAAAATGGAGATGGAAGCTGCAGAGGAAACGAACAGCTGCCCCCACACATGCCGTACAAGGCCTGCATGGGATGATGTACGTAGAGCTGCATTTAATGTATACTAAAAATCACTGGGCCGTGTTGCTAACTTCTGTTAGCAGAGAATGCAGAAAGGCTGTGGGAGCCTTTCATTGCCAGCTCTACGTGACCCTTCCCCTTATGATCAACACCAGACCAGGGATTTAACTACAAGGCCCTGCCTTACCCAGCTCTTTTTGTCCCCACTTTGCAAAGTTCCTAAAATGTACCAGATTTCTTTCTTCTTCATGGTCTTATATGCTGATCCCTCTGCGGAAAACAGTCTCTGTATTTGTTGCCTTTTCTTACGTAGGTTTCACTTCATGTCATTCCTTAAAGAGCACTTCCCTGTCCTCCTAAACTGAATTAGGTGCCCCCTCCCTGGCTTGTGTCCCTATTGGGATCTAGTTCCAGATTGTAATTATGTTTCTATTATGTTCATGTGTAGCTCTGTGGTATGGGGGCCACATTTGTTCTGCTCACTAGTGAATCCTCAGAGCCTGGCACATGGCAATGCTCAAGACATTTGATGAATGAATTAGCTATTTCATGCACTTCTTCGTCTAACTCTCATGCCTATTGTCTTTTTTAAGCATGTGAGACATCTTTGGAGGTTATTGAATGTAAAGATTTCTACAAAACAGTACCCATTCCAAAAGATTAATGATGTTTAATAAACCTAAATAATAAGGAATGCTTGGAAAGCTCATAAAGTAACAGCAATGGAACAGGGAGATTTTTTAAATCATATTTAAGTAATTTATTGCTTTGCATCAGTTACCCTTACACAGATAAAGCCAAGACTAGAGCAAATTGGTGAACTAGTTAGTTCAACACTGTCTTTGCCCCAGCCCCTATCTCACTAGCTAATTACATTAGCAGACATATATCAAATGTTTCCTCTGTGCTGCCCATTGTGCTGGACTGTGAGATTTGGCCCTGATTTCAGTCCGGATTCTAGTAGGGCTTCCAGCACCTCCTTCTCCCTTTGGGGCTTCCCTCAATTCCATTCAACAAATATTTATTGAACTCATAGTTGGGTGAAAGAAATGATGAATGAGTAAATCCGTAGCAATACTTCATGTTACTACTCACGATGATGGCTGTGAGGTGTTAACAATATTTTGAATCATGCAAGTTTTCATTAGGGCCATTCTATCTATTAAGGCAAGAACTGAACAAATACATCTAAGAATGGGTTTCTACTAGAAAGATTGCAACAAATAAGTTTTTCTGATTAGCCCTCAGATAATTCAATTAACTTCTATTACCAGAACGTTCAAGTCTGCTTTGCTAGCCTATGAGTTTCCATACAGGAGGGGCTGAAGGGCTGGCAATCTGTTAGGAAGGCAAGCTGGAGTTTTGTCTTGAAGTCATGTTTACACAGCAAGTATGCTGTTTCTGCTTGGATTCCATGGCTATTTGGCATAGCTAAAGGTGGCTATTGGAAATCATGGGGAAATTAAATCTTTGCCCCCTCTCAATCATTTATTGGCGCTACCACTGATCCTAGCTAACTGAAGCATAATTACATTTTGTTTGTTTGTCAGACTTTCAGACTGCTCAGGCTTCAAAATCCACAAGATTTCAAAAAGAAAATTTCAAAGGGAGAAAGAAGCCATAGTCTGCTCTGATAACTTGTTTATCAATTTATTTTTCAATTTCCCTGTCCTCTTCTCTCAGAGGGAAACATGAGTGAGAACCTGACTCGCAACCCCTATGAGATAGAGAATATTTGCCTTTTTTTTTGGTTGATTGCTGGGCTTGAAAAGAAAAAAAAAGACAGAAAATAAAAAAGGTTAGAAGTCGGGCATGATGGCTTACGCCTATAATCCTAACACTTTGGGAGGCCAAGGCAGGCAGATCACTTGAGCCCAGGAGTTCAAGACCAGTCTGGGTAACATGGCGAAACTTCGTCTCTACAAAAAATACAAAAATTAACCAAGTGCAGTGGTGCATGCCTGTAGTCCCAGCTACTTGGGAGGCTAAGGCAGGAGGATCGCTTGAGCCTAGGATATTGAGGCCTCAGTGAGCCGTAATTGAGCCACTGCACTCCAGCCTGGGTGACAGAGCAAGACCCTGTCTCAAAAAAAAAAAAAAAAGAAAAGCCAAGTTAAAAATCTGTAAACTGATAATATGGAAACATGTTTACCTACTTTACAGGAATGTCATATCATCAAAACCAGAGGAATTTTCTGTGCAAATACAAAGGAAGTAATTTAATAGTTTCCAAATGGTCTTTCTTGTTTTCTTATCACCCATCCACTCCTTGCACATTTTTGAAAAAAATTGTCTAGTTTGTATTTACCCTTCTCACTTATGCTGCATAAACACATTTTGCTCAAGGAAGGCAAACCTAGACAGGTCTGGTTTAATTCCACAATCAGATATTAATATAGTGTTTTGAAGATAATTGCTTTATGACCTCAGAATGAATCAGTTCTCAGGGCAAGGAGACATTTAATGCAGCAGGCAGCACGCTTGCCATGCCCCATATGTGGTGTGCTTGTAGTGCAGTGGGGCTCAGCTTCACGGGCACACCACGTGTGTACCATACCCACAAACTGGATTAGCAAGAATGTGTAAACTTGGACTTCATTCCCTCTCTTCCCTAGATTCTGCTCAGGAAGCTAGATTTTGTGATTAGGCAATCCTATTGGGTGAAAGCTCACAATAGTACTGATATTCCTAACAATAGCTACCATTTATTGTACATCTATTACAGGCCAGGCTAAATGCTGGGCTCAGTGCTTTGTGTCCTCATCTTTGGAGCCCTCATAACACCAATACCAGGTGTATTTTATTATCTCCTCATTTTCTCATATTGCAGATGAGGACACTGAGCTGAGAGCAGTTGAGTCACTTGCCCAAGGTCATATTGCTGGGATTTAAACCACAGTGTGCCTGGCTCAGAGGGAATTTTCTGAGAAAGGAATGAGCTGAGGTTTCAGGATCCTTCACTTACATGGCCCTTTGCAAGGCCCTGTGCCTAATTTTGTGTTTGCAATTTTTAAAATTCTTTTTCTTGAAGAGGCCCCCTAAACCGTGTTAGCCGAAGTCTCCATAAAACCTGAATCCAGCTTTGGCTTCCCTTCAGAGCTTTCATTCTTAATCTCCAAATTGTAGTTTCTAACCAAGCATAATAACATTAATGTCAAGGACTGACATATCACATACTAAGTGATCTGTTCATAGTAGGTGCTCAATAAAGGTTGAATGAAAAAGCACACATGACTGAATAAATGTCCTACTCAAAAACCATAATGTGGATCAACTCCATGTATGTTGAAAACCAAGGGGTAGATTAAAATGATGTGAGCCATTGAAAGAAATTGGCTCTTTCCTGACACGGGGCATGGAGCAGCAGCTAAGTTTTTGCCAGGGTAAAAGAGCAGACAGTGTAGATTTTTCTCTGTATCCCTTTGCCATTAATAAGTCCTGGAGAATACCACATTGATGAATTTGCAGTGACTTCCTCTTTGCAGTCACTTCCATAAGCGACACCTCATTTCACTTAGCTTATCCAATTAACAAAAGGAGAAAACAAATTAAAAGAAAGTCCCTGAGGTAGTCGAGACTCAGTGTGCTTAAGTGGATAAACAACATAATTGGAATTGCCTACCCTTATGAAAGCACCATAGTTGGGGCTGGTTTTGAACAAGTAGTTCTAGTTTGGCAAGAGTTTGTTAGTGTCATTTCACAGGAAAGGCTAGGAGGAAATGTATTTAAAATGCAACAAGAGAATTCTTGGTTAGAAACGCAGATGGTACAGATTGATAGATATTTGAAGTAGCTATTGAAAGAAGTTGGTGAGAGTATGTTCCTCATCTACCAAAAATGTTATCTTGCCTTCAGGCAAGGACCCTGGGGAGTTCTCTAAGACCCTTCAAGCCTAAAAGTTCCAGTGTACTCACGGGATGAGAAATCACTTGGTAGTACATAAATCAAAGCAAAAGATGCCTGCTCTTCTCTGTAACAGCGGAACAGTTGGCAAAATCCCAAATTGTTTATCAGATATTGGGGCCGCTCACAGTTTAGTTTCAGGAATTTATTGTCTAGGTAAGTGGTATCAGGACTTCAAAGTGGTGTCTCTCTACACAAATTAATCAACAAATTTAATGGGCCTGGCATCGTAGCTCACACCTGTAATCTCAGCACTTTGGGAGGCCGAGGTGGGCAGATAGCTTGAGCCCAGAAGTTTGAGACCAGCCTGGCCAACATGTGAAACCCTGTCTCTACTAAAAATACAAAAAATTACCCGGGCATGGGGGCACACGCCCGTAATCTCAGCTACCCAGAAGGCTGAGGTGGGAGGATCACCTGGGCCCAGGAGGTTGAGGCTGCAGCGAACAGTGATTGCACCACTGCACTCCAGCCTGGGTGACAAAGTGAGACCCTGTCTCAGGAAAAAAAAAAAAAAAATTAATGCAACTTCAGTTAATATCCTCATGAGATAAAAAGAAGAAGGAGAAGAGGAAGAACAAGAAGAATAAAAAGGTAATGGACAATCATTTCTCTCTCCATGTATTAATGTAACTCATAAATATTCACATATATGTGGTAATTAAAAGTGTGACCCTGCAAACCCACTCCTAGATATTTATTCCAGTGAAATGATCATCTATATTCACACAAAAACCAAACATTTATAGCAGCTTTATTCTTAACATCCAAAAGCTGGAAACAACTCAAATGTCCCTCGGTTGGGAAACGAATAAACTGGTAGGTGTGGTATGTGTGTGTGGCATGTGTGGTATGTGTGTGTGGTGTGTGTGGTATGTCCACACCAGGGAATAATACTCAGCAATAAAAAGGAAGATACTATTGATACATGCAGCAACACGGATGCATCTTAGGGTATTATGCTGAGTGAAAGAAGACAGATTCAAAAGGCTGTATACTGTATGATTCCATTTCTATAACATTCTGGAAAAGGTAAAACAATAGGGATGGAAAACAGATCAGTGGTTTCCAGGGGTTAACAGAGTGGGGAGGTTTGAGGGTGAACCCTTCGAAAGGATAGCATGAAGGAATTTGGGAAGGTAATGGAACTGCTGCCGTGCCTACACAACTCTGTGCATTTGGCAAAACTCAGAACTGTATACCCCGAAGAGCGAACTTTACTGTATGTAAACTAAAAAATAAAATAAACCTGTATTACACTAGTACAGGTTTAAACAGGTCAATGGAACATCACAGAGAGCTACAAATGAAATCCAATATAGTTAATTTGTTTTGCTAAAGATGGCATTTTTAAATCCATGGAGAAAATACACAGTGCTGGGAAAACTGGTTCTTATCATTAAAAAAAGATACTACCTCATACCTTAAATCAAAATAAATTCCAAAAGGATTAATTAAATGAGAACAATATTTAAATGAGAATACTAGAGAACATACACATTTTTCTAATAATGTTGGTGTGGAAAGGATAATTACATTTATCTTTCTTAAGAATAATATAAAAGTCAGAAACCATAAAGAAAAAAAGTATTTATTTATTTTTTTTTTTCGAGACAGGGTCTCACTCTGTCATTCAGGCTGAAGTGCAGCGGCACAATCACGGCTCACTGCGGCCTCAACCTCCTGGGCTCAAGCAATCCCCTTGCCTCAGCCTCCTGAGCAGCTGAGACTACAAGCACCAACCACCACACCTGGTTAATTTTTCTATTTTTTTGTAGAGACGGAATTTCACCACGTTGCCCAGCTTGGTCTCAAACTCCAGGGCTCAAGTGATCTGCCCACCTCAGCCTCCCAGAGTGTTGGGATTACAGGCATGAGCCACCACACCCGGTCAAGAATTGATTTAAAAATTTAAAAACTCCAGCCGGGCATCGTGGCTCACGCCTGTAATCCCAGCATTTTGGGAGGCCGAGGTGAGTGGATCAACTGAGGTTGGGAGTTCGAGACCAGCCTGACCAAATGGAGAAACCCTGTCTCTAATAAAAATACAGAATTAGCTGGTGTGGTGGCACACGCCTGTAATCCCAGCTACTCAGGAGGCTGAGGCAGGAGAATCGCTTGAACCCAGGAGGCGGAGATTACAGTGAGCCGAGATCGCGCCATTGCACTTCAGCCTGGGCAACAAGAGTAAAACTTCATCTAAAAAATAAATAAATAAATAAATAAATAAAACTCAGTAAAACAAACTAAGAATAACAACAAGTCGGCAGACAAATGACAAACTGGGAAACATATCTATAACACTTACGATAGCTAAAGATATCTACAGTGGATGCTAGGGTCTGCCACCCTGATCCCTCTTTCAGTATTTGGGTGTTAATCCCCTAGCTGTCAGGAGTGTTGGTGGCTGACCGCTCATGCTAAGTTCCTCTCCTGTAATTATGTCCACAGCTGAGAGTCACTTTGCCCGAGGTCACACGCCCCTCCTGGAAACAGCCATCATCCAATGACTGGTCAAGAAAGGCCTGGCCCCCTTGCCTTGAGGCAGAACTGTGAAGGGCCATCCCAGCTCCAGAGTCCTCTGTGGGTTCAGCTAAGTGAGGCTTTTTTTTTTTGCCATTCAACTTCTCCTCCTGGCCAATCCTACTTTCACTAACCTTAGGTTTTGATGCCAAGGGCACTTCCCAATAAACTCTGAAATAGGAATCTCTGTCTTAGAGCCTGTGTCTGGGGAACTCAGCCTAATATCCTTAATATGTAAAGAACTTTTACAAATCAACAAGAAAATAGAAAAATGGGCAAAAGACATAAAAAGGAGAGGGCAGACCATCACTTTTTCTCTATTTGGATATTCTCTACTGCTGGAGAGGTAGGATTGCTCTCTTCTCATTGACTCTCTGACATTCTTTCTTTGGACTCTTCCATTGTCTGTTGAGTCAAAAAGGCTGCAGCCACCACCACTTAGGAGGCCTGGAATGAACAGTTTGGACCAGCTCTGCTCCTGGAAGTGACATGAATGTCCTATTGCCCTGGATCTTTTTCTTATGCCCTCTTCTTGTTTCCCCAACTTTCTTCTCCACTAGACACAGTAAGATCCAGAACTTGAAGGTGAACTTAATGAAAAAGGGTAAAAGAAAGAAAGTTGCCTTGTGCCTAAGTCACGGGGGCTCTGCATGAACTCCAGCCCAGACCAACAGGCTCCGTATTGGAGGTTGGGGCCCACGTCTCAGGGTTGTAGTCTTTGCTGTCAGTCATTGTTCTCTGAGGATGGTTTCCCTCCAGAACCTCATGGAGAGGGGTTATTGGCCAGAGGACAGGGACTGGGCTTTCCTGGGCTCCCTAGCCAAATGCTACCTTAATTTCCCCACCATTCTGAACCCACAGATATATACGAGCGCTTGCAGGGAAAATGCACAGAATGAGAAAAGAGTTGTGGGTGGAAGCCTCCTTAACGTATCTAGCTCAGCCACGTGGCTCTCTCAGAAGTTCCTCACAGAGCATTTTTGAGGTCATAAATCATATCACCAAAAAGGGGCAATGAGCATCCTTAGCAGATTCCATTAGAATAAGGGTAACCCATGAGGTCATGTCTGGTGATTATAGAATTATCTTAATTATTTATTAATATATTCAAGGCTTGAGAACACTGGCATTAGCACTATACAGTATAAACATTCAAAAGCAAGGCAAACACTCCCTGGCACAGGTACATGAATGAGCAATGAGCCCCAGACCACACCTGAGATTGAGTGGGATAAGTGAGAAACTGTCGACTTTCACTACATACCTGAAAATCAGGACTGAATAGAGAACAGAATTTGACAACCTCTTATTACAGTGTTTCTTATTTTTGTGTGCACACCAGGATCTCCTGGGAAGATTTTACAAACCTCTTGTCCAGTTTTCACCTCTGGTCTGAGATGGGGCTCCGGCATCTGAATAACCACTGGTTAAGGTGAATCCCTAACTAACAGATGGGGAGCTGAGATCCAGAGAGAGCAAGTAATTTGTCTAAGGTGACAATGACCATTTGCCAAAGAACCAGGACTAGTACCCAGGCTTCCAGACTCTGATCCAGTGTTCCTTTTACTATACAAGCAGGAGTGCAAAGAAATAGTTATTCTTTCCCCAACCACCTAGTTATCCTCAGTTACTTATGTGCCCACCTTGAAGAATGGAGTGTGGTTCCAGGCTGTGCTTGGGAACACAACTCAGAGATTTATACCACTGTCAAGCAAACCTGCCATTGAGTCATAGCTGCGAAGACATCTGTCTTTCATTTTCTTTTTTTTTTTTTTTCTGAGATGGAGTCTTGCTCCATTACCCAGGCTGGAGTGCAGTGGCACGATCTTGGCTCACTGCAAGCTCCGCCTCCTGGTTTCACGCCATTCTCCTGCCTCAGCCTCCTGAGTAGCTGGGACTACAGGCATCCACCACCACACCTGGCTATTTATTTGTATTTTTAGTACAGACAGGGTTTCACCGTGTTAGCCAGGATAGTCTCGATCTCCTGACCTTGTGATCCGCCCGCCTTGGCCTCCCAAAGTGCTGGGATTACAGGCATAAGCCACCATGCCTGGCCCTGTCTTTCATTTTCAAAGATAAGGCCACTTGTTTTGTGTATTCCACCATAGCAGACATTAGAGAAATGTGTGACGCACATCTCCCTGTTCCTGTGCACTCTTAATGCCTTGTGGTTTGTGGTTGTGATTGCTGGTTTACAAAACCCAACTCTCTATTTATGCTATAACTTCCCAGAAGGATCTCTCTGCTGCTGTCCTTTCCTAGTCATTTCCCCAAAGCCATCGAGTTTGACATTTTCATTGAATGCAGGAGACACATCCCATAACATCGGTCAAGAAATACATATTTGTTGGCCAGGCACAGTGGCTCACCTGTAATCCCAGCACTTTGGGAGGCCGAGGCAGGTGGATCACCTGAGGTCAGGAGTTTGAGACCAGCCTGGCCAACATGGTAAAACCCTGTCTCTACTAAAAATACAAAAATTAGCCAGATGTGGTGGAGCACACCTATAAGCCCAGCTACTCAGGAGGCTGAGGCAGGAGAATTGCTTGAACCGGGGAGGCAGAGGTTGCAGTGAGCCGAGATTTTGCCACTGTACTCCAGCCTGGATGACAGAGCAAGACTCCGTCAAAAAAAAAAAAAAAAAAAAAAAAAAGAAGTATTTGTTGAGAGAGAGTAGTACAGCCTTGTTCTTATGTTTAATCATGCTGTAGTTAGAAGACACTTCAGGGTGTTGGGGAAATGGAATGTAAGCTGCTCAGAACTCTCTTTTGGAAAAGTAGGCCCTTTATTCACAGGACACCCAAAAGAACACTTAAATGCATTCTCCTGGAGAAAAACATCCTTGGCTACTCTGGAGAACTTCTGCTCAATCTCTCTACACTGGGCCTATGTTGATTAGCTGAGCTACATACCATCATCAACCATCTCAAAAGTGCCGGGCTATGTAGCAGATACCTGGCAACTGCAAGTCTTCCAGCTTCCTGGAAACCTGGATTTGTCACCCGTTACAGCCACCTGTGTTTTACAGTTGAGAAATTCTAGGGACCCAGCCATTAAAGGCCAGCCAGGGTCATTCACATGGACTTCAGAGTACAACCAGAGCAGAAGGGAAACTTGCTGGGATTCTAGAATCAAAGGACACTGTAGCTGAAAGGGATTTCAAGAGGTCATTTGGTTCATTTGCTTCACTGCAGGTGGACAATGAAACCGTCCAAGACTAACAACTGGGGGCAAAGGCTTCACAATGACTCCAACCTCTTGCTTCAAGTTCTCCCTTCCTCACAGTTCTTCCTTAAATCTAACCAAAATCTCTTGTTGTTGCCCTTTCTACCTTCCCAACTAGTGTTTAATGGAGAGACAGTGTTTCTCTATTGCTTGTTCTATTTAAGAGTTGGCTCCTGAGAAGGCTTGAACAATACCCTTGGAGAGGCTCTGTGGGGGGCTGCAGCAGGCAAAGGCAGACGTTTCTGAATTTTTGGCTCTTTTATACTCTGCATTTCTTTGATCCACCCTCTCCGGAGAAGAGAGACAGAGAGATAAGTCAATGGAACACAAATACAGAAGATAATGAGCAATAGTATTCATGACCATAGTAAGCTTCAGGGTGAAGGGTGTTAGGGTAGGCTGATGGAAGGTATCATTTCTGATTTCTGACAGTATTTATTTATTTATTTAGAGACTGGGTCTCTTTCTGTTGCCCACACTGCAGGGAAGCGGCACAATCTCAGCAATCTCAGCTCACTGCAACCTCTGCCTCCCGGGCTCAAGCAATCCTCCCACCTCAGCCTCCCAAGTAGCTGGACCACAGGTGTAAGCCACCACACCTGGGTAATTTTTGTATTTTTTGTAGAGAAAGGGCTGTGCCATGTTGCCCAGCCTGAACAGCTGTTATTTAAATGGAATCTGATCCAGAGGGAGACTGTGTTGTGTCCCTCCCAGGAGAACTTACTGATGATGGGAGAAGGTCTGGTTATAGGGATGATTGCATTGTGCTCCCCAGTTGGGAGAAGAAAGATGGAGAAGCTTCTTTTGAACTCTTTCCAACTCTTTCTCTGGTCTGAAAAAGCCCCAGTTCTAAGCATTTTGAAAGATCATTGCATATGAGGAAACTAATAAGCAAACTACTGCTAAATGAGATCCCCTTTGAACTTGACTCTCACCCTGCATTAAACCAGTATGGACAAGCCTAAAATGAAATGGTTCTTACATGGCTCCCCAGGCAAAATTTTGAAAACTAACAACTGACATTGTCTTTTTGATATTTTCCCACCCTACTGCCTCCTTCAATTAGACTGTACAGTGGGAGGAGATAACAGAGTTCTAAGATTATTCCCACATACAGAGTTTTATTTTATTGAGTCTCCTTTGGGGTAAACTATCCACTAGCATTTGCATCAATTACTCTTAAATTGCTACCTAATATGAAATGCTTCAGTTGGGAGTTGGGAGAAGAATTTCTCTTAAGCCAGTTCTCCTTAAAGGTAAAAGAAGATATTTCAAACTGTATGCTGAAGAGCTTTTTCTTTTTTTTTTTTTTTTTTTGAGATGGAGTCTTACTCTGTCACCCAGGCTGGAGTGCAGTGGCACAATCTTGGCTCACTGCAACCTCCGCCTCCTGGGTTCAAGCAAGTATCCTATCTCAGCCTCCCGAGTAGCTGGGATTGCAGGTGCATGCCACCATGCCAGCTAATTTTTGTATTTTTAGTAGAGACGGGGTTTCACCATGTTGGTCAGGCTGGTCTTGAACTCCTGACCTCAGATGATCCACCTGCCTCAGCCTCCCAAAGTGCTGGGATTACAGGCATGAGCCACTGCGCCTGACCTCGAAGAGCTTTAAGGAAAAAAAAAAAATGACACAACCGCAGTGAGCTGAGATAGTACCACTGCACTCCAACCTGGGTGACAGACTCCACCTAAAAAAAAAAATTATATACATATATATACACATATACACACATATATACACACACACACACATATGTATATATACACATATATATACATATATATACACACGTATATATACACATATATACATATATACACACATATACACACATATATATACACACACGTATATATACATATATATACACACACATGTATATATACATATATACACACACATATGTATATATATACATATATATAGAGCGAGAGAGAGACCTATAGCCTGTTCTTTGCATCAACCACTCTTCAAAACACTTTTAATCAATCTTTTCTAATCTACCAACAAGCATGTCCATCAACTAGGAAGCATTACTGAGCCCAGCTTGATGCCAGCGAGTATAGGACTTATCCCAACGTATAAGGCTTAAACTCTGCCCTCAAAAAGTGTCCAGGGTAGTGGGGACACAAGACTAACCCACAGGAAACAACCAGAGGCTGATGCAGAGAAATATGTTTAGATTCCAAGTGGTATGGAGCAGACCTTAAATACAACAGAAATTCTGCAATTGGTGAATTAAACTAGTCAGCCAGCTCTTAGTAGAGGGTGCACAACCCTAACGTGTTTTTTTTTTTTTTTTTTTTTTGGAGACTGAATCTCACTGTGTTGCCCAGGCTGGAGTGCAATGGTGTGATCTCAACTCACTACAAACTCTGCCTCCTGGGTTCAAGTGATTCTCCTGCCTAAGCCTCCTGAGGAGCTGGGATTACAGGCATGTGCCACCACGCCCAGCTAATTTTTGTAATTTTTTTTTTTTTTTTGAGACGGAGTCTTGCTCTGTCGCCCATGCTGGAGTGCAGCGGTGTGATCTCAGCTCACTGCAACCTCTGCCTCCCAGGTTCAAGCAATTCTTCTGCCTCAGCCTCCTGAGTAGCTGGGATTACAGGCACCTGCCACCAAGCCCAGCTGATTTTTGTATTTTTAGTAGAGACGGGGTTTCACCATGTTGGTCAGGCTGGTCTCGAACCCCTGACCTCATGATCCATCCACCTCGGCTTCCCAAAGTGCTGGGATTACAGGTGTAAGCCACCGCGCCCGGCCATTAATTTTTGTATTTTTAGTAGACATTGGGTTTCACCATGTTGGCCAGGCTGGTCTCAAACTCCTGGCCTCGAGTGATCTGCCTGCCTTGGCCTCCCGAAGTGCTGGGATTACAGCGGTGAGCCACTGTTCCTGGCCCCAAACTAGCTTTCAAGACAGGATACATTTTCGAGAGGCGGAATAAAAAAAAAAAAAAAGAAAAGAAAAGGGAATAAGATAATTATGAAAATTTAAACTAGCATTTAAAAACTTTTTATTACAGATCATTTCAATCATACAGAAAGTTACAGAAACCTCGTGCACTCATCACTTTATCAATTCATGGCCAATCTTGCTTTATCTATATATACCATCCCCCACATTTCCCTACCTCCTGGATTGTTTTGAAGCAAATCCCAGACATCATATCATTCCATCTGTAAATATCTCAGTATTTTACTAGCATTTTGATGTAAGCATGATTGAATTATACAGGTCAGAGCGTGTTTCAAAAAAACAGTACAGGCCGGGTGCAGTGGCTCACGCCTGTAATCCCAGCACTTTGGAAGGCCGAGGTGGGCGGATTACCTGAGGTCAGGAGTTTGAGACCAGCCTGGCCAACATGGTGAAACCTTGTCTCTACTAAAAATATAAAAATTAGCCGGGCATAGTGACCGGTGCCTGTAATCCCAGCTACTCAGGAGGCTGAGGCACAAGAATGCTTGAACTGGGAGGCAGAGGTTGCAATGAGCTGAGATTGTGCCACTGCACTCCAGCCTGGGCAATAGAGTGAGACTCTGTCTCAAACAACAACAACAACAACAAAACAGTAAGAAGTTGAAAGTCTTGGCACAATATAAAGATCCCACAAGCCTTAGCCAATGGCACATTTATTTTGTTCAACAACATCCCAGTACATCAGAAGAACCCCTAATGTTTTTTTTTTAGAGGAGGTTGAAATAAAATAGATATGTCCAGAAATGCATGCTTTTTGCTATAATGCTTGGACCTGAATGGAATGTCAGAAGTATATGGACAAACACTTGTCCCTGTATATCTGCTGCAACTTAAGTATATTTCTTTAAGCTATTTTCAACATAGATCAGAGTGGTATTTCAGGAAGACATGCCTTTCTTAAACCAGAGTCCAACCAAAGTGGTCGGTGGAATCTGAGGGTGGTGGGACAGTGTAGGGCAAGGAGGTAAAAGCAGAACCGGAGAAGAGGCAGAACAGGGTGGGAGCAGGAGGCAGATTGGGTGGGCATGGAGGCTCTCAAGGCTCTGGCTGGATGTGAAACTGAGTGGGAGGCAAAGAATGAAAGTGGAGCATGTTAATCTTGGAATGAGGATGAGTCATGCAGAAAATGAGACGCTTTCCCACTGATGCTCTGAATAATACCCCTTGACTGGGAAAAGAAACCAAATGAATATTGCTCTTGATGGCAGTGGAGATAGGGTATGGCATGCGAAGTGTGCAGGGGAAAATCGGGCACCCCTCCTCGCTCTTTCACCTTTCCTGGGTGACCTGAAACAAACCATTTAACCTCTCAAGTCATACTCCACATCCCAACAAAAGAGCAGTGACGCTAGATTATCTCTGGGTCCCTTGAGACCTACAACATTCAACAATTCAATTAACTAAAATGAATTGTAGGGCAGACATGGTGGCTCACTCCTGTAATCCTGACTGGGCTGATTGTTTGAGCCCAGGAGTTCAAGACCAGCCTGGGCAACATAGAGAAACCCCTCCCACCCCAACTCTACAAAAAAAAAAAAAAAGTTTTGTAAAAGGGCAGGTAGATATGAATTTGGGGAGACCTTTCGATGGTGGCTGTAGGAAACAGCAATAGCAATTGAGACAACCTATACCATACATAAGCTATAATAAGGGGAAATAAAATATGGCCCTTGCCCACATCTATCACGTTTGTATTTGTCAGTTACTCTATGAAGCGGTTTACATAATTATCTCACCTAATCCTTATAAAAACCCTATGAGGGGCTGGGCTCATGGTGGTGGCTCATGCCTGTAATGCCAGCACTTTGGGAGGCCGAGGCAGGTAGATCACCTGAGGTCAGGAGTTCAAGACCAGCCTGACCAACATGGTGAAACTCCATCTCTACTAAAAAAACAAAATTAGCCGGGCACGATGGTGCATGCCTGTAATCCCAGCTACTTGGGAGGCTGAGGCAGGAGAATCGCTTGAACCCGGGAGGTGGAGGTTGCGGTGAGCCAAGATTGCACCATTGCACTGCAGCCTAGACAACAAGAGTGAAACTCTGTCTCAAAAACAAAACAAAACAAAACCCTATGAGGTAGGTTCTAATATTATCACACTGCCGTGAGGAAACTGAGGCACAGAGAGCATAAGTAATCTACCCAAAACATTGCCAGTAAATAGGAAAGCCAGGATTGAACTCAGATCTATCTAAATTCCAAACCCTTAACCACTGTACTACATGCTCACCTATTATGCTAGAGTGCATAGAATAACTATTAACATCTTGTATTTTATCATCCAATCATAATCAAGAAACCTCCATTAAATATCTACCTAACCTAAGAGCCAGCTTGAAGAAGTTCCCACTGGGAAAATCTGGGACAAATTAAGCACCAAAATTAAGTCAGTAATGAATTATAAAGCACTAAAAAAATAGGCATTTGTAAGTCCTTACTGATAATAGGTAAATAAGTAAATGGGGAGAAGGGAGGGCTCTTGCTTACAGCAGAATATTGAGAGTTGGCTAGGAAATGGGGAGGAACTGCTGGAGCCAGAACATCATCATTTTGGAAATCATTGTAGTAAACATGGGATCAGGCAGGAATTATCAATAGATGCTAAATCAAAGGAGGAAATGTTGAAGAACAAGCTATTTGCATGGTCTTAAAAGTATCTCCCCAAAGACTGCTTATTAGTTGAAGGGAGAAAAAAATTAATTACCCAGTGGAGAAACTGGGCAACACCTTGACAGGGTGATACAAATTTACATTTACCAGTAAGGGGCAGATGAAACTTGTGTGCCTCCAGCATGATATCCTTAGAAGGACACAATGTTAATTTTTGCAATATTCTAGCCAAGAATACATAACAAACAAAATAGGAATGTTCTATTTAAAAAAAAAAAAAGATGAGGGGCACTGTATTCTTAAAAAATATCAACATCATAAGAGACAAAGGGCCAGGGGTAGGGGCTTACACCTGTAATCCCAGCACTTTGGGAGGGAGGCCGAGGCAGATGGATGGATCACTTGAGGCCAGGAGTTCATGACCATCCTGGCCAACATGGCGAAACCCCATCTCTACTAAAAATACAAAAATTAGCCGGGTGTGGTGGCACATGACTGTAGTCCCAGCTACTCAGGAGGCTGAGGATCGCTGGAACCCAGGAGGAGGAAGTTGCGGTGAGCCAGGATTGTGCAACTGCACTCCAGCCTGAGCAACAGAGCAAGACTCTGTCTCAAAAAAAAGACAAAGAAAGGCTATGGAAATGTTCCAGATTAAAGGAGGTAAAAGGGATAAGAAGGGATAAGACAACTAGATGTAAGCCTGACCCTAGACTCAGTGCTGCACAGGAGTGGGGAGAAGAGGATAATTCTATAAAATACACCATTAGATCAACTGACAACATTGGAATATAGGCAGTACCGATGTAAAATTGTGAGGCTGATAAATGTACTGTGGTTATGTAAGAGAATATTCCTATTTTTATTTTTATTTTTTTCTCTACTCCATGTGGAACAGGGCTAACTCACAGGCAATGTGCCCAGAGTTGGCCTATTCCTACTTTTATGAATTGCACACTAAGGTATTCAGAAGTGAAGGATCATGATGTATGTAACTTACCCTCATATGGTTCAAAAGAGAGAGAAAGAGAATGCAAAAATAGCTAAAGCAAATGGGGTAAAATGCTAACAATAGGTAAAAGTAGGTAAAGGGTATATGTTTATCTTATCCCTTTTTCCTCCTTTAATCTAAAAGGGATGTTTCTTGAAACTTATTCTAAGTTTGAGAATATGTCCAAATAAGTTTGGGGTTTTTTTTGGCCAGTCTGATATCACATTACTGAGTGGTGGTCAGACCCTGAGTTCTTTAGCATTTGCTGTTGTTGTTCAGTCAGGGTTTTGCTTTGTCACCCAGGATGAAGTGCAGTGGCATGATCTCAGCTCACTGCAGCCTCTGCCTCCCTGGCTCAAGCGATCCTCCCACCTCAGCCTCCCAAGTTGCTGGGACCGCTGGGACCACAGGGGGTTTTACCATGTTGCCAAGGCTGGTCTCCAACTCCTGAGCTCAAGCAATATGCCCGCCTCGACCTCTAAAAGTGCTGAAATTATGTGTGTGAGCCACCAGGCCTGGCCCAAGACCCTGCGTTCTTGACTGGAGATGGGGAAAAATGCCCTGCGTTGAGCCATGAGAATAACCGTCGTTCAACAGGAGAAGCTCAAGGCAGAGCTGGCTCCCTGTAGTTCAGGGGTTCACCAACCAACATGAAGAGCTACCTGGGTCACAAAGAAAACAGGCTCATGAGTAAACAAATAACAGAGTAATTCCACTGTGAGAAACACCAGGAAAACCAACATCTCCATATGTGTAAGGAAAAGATCTCCAGGCATGGGCCTATAGCCTAATTATTTCAACACAAGTCTACCCAGCAGAAGGATTAACCTGTTCAAGCTCACCTTTCATTTGCGATATATATGTGAAATCTTCTGGAACTAGAAGGCTCATTGGCAGATGGGAAAGGCGAGGAACAAACTGCTGTCTTTGATACAACACACGCTAGGGCTTGAGGAAACTATGGAATGAGTAACAAATTAGTAGACAACTTTTGACAATAAGATTATTATTGTTGCCATAGACTTGAGTCACTACCATGTGCTAGACCCTGAGGATACAGAAAGATAAAAGCAATGATCCCTGTCCTCAAGTAGCTTTGGGGAGCTGGGAGAGAGACACACAAAAGGGATACATTACAGGGCAGCAAATGAAAAGTATACTTTATGGAATACGACAGTCAGGAAAAGCTATTGTGGGTGTGTGGCACCAAGAGAAGTGGTAGGGGTAGGGTTTTCATTCATTCACTCATTTACTCATTCATTTATTCAAGCATTCTTTCAATAAATATTTATTCAACTTTTTTTTTTTTTTTTTGAGACGGAATCTCACTCTGTCACACAGGCTGGAGTGCAGTGTCACAATTTCGGCTCAGTGCAACCTCCACCTTCCAGGTTTAAGTGATTTTCCTGCCTCAGCCTCCCGAGTAGCTGGGATTACAGATATGCACCACCACGCCCAGCTAATTTTTGTATGTTTAGTAGAAACGAGGTTTCACCATGTTGGCCAGGCTGGTCTCAAACTCCTGACCTCATGTGATCTGCCCGCCTCAGCCTCCCAAAGTGCTGGGATTATAGGTGTGAGCTACTGCGTCTGGCCTATTCAGCTTTTTAAACTGCACAGTACTGTGCAAACACTTAAGGAGAACAATTAGATAAAAATGCTGTGGGGAGAAGGAAGATATATGTTCAGCGCTCTTTAATAAGAATGGCTAAAATTTAGCTATTAAATATTTATTAGCTATGAAACCGTATTAGTTTCCTGTGGTGGCTCTAACAAATTACTCCAAAATCGACTACTTAAAACAACAGAAATTTATTGTCTCAGAGTCCTGGAGGCCAGAAGTCTAAATTCAAGGTGTTGGCTGGGCCCTGCTCCCTCCAGAGGCATAGGGGAGAATCCTTTCTTGCCTTTTCCAACTTCCGTTGGCTGGTGGCATTCCTTGGTTTGTGGCTGCCTCACTGCCATCTCTGCCCCAATCTTCACATGGTCTTCTCCTTTGTCCTTTGTAACTCTCTTATGAGGACACTTTTCACTGAATTTAGGGCCCACCTAGATCATCCAGGATGAGTGCTTCATCTCAAGATACTTAATTACATCTGCAAAAGTCTCTTCCCAAATAAGGTAACATTCACAAATTTCAGAAATTAGGACACAGACATATCTTTTTGGAGGCTATCATTCAACCCATTATAAGCCCTTTCCATGTGCCAGGCATTGTCCTAAGCATCTTATATGTATCAACTCATCTGACTCATAACAAGCCAATGAGATAGGTTATGAATTTCATCCCCATTGAGAAAATGAAGACACAGAGCCAGTGGGTAACTTGGAACCATCACTGAGGATAATTGGACTTGAATGGAGAGCTTGTATTGAGCGGTCATGAGAGATGACTTTGGATAGACAAGTTAAGGTCACATGTGGAATATTTTAAATACCTGAATAAAATATTGTACTTCATTCTTCAGGTAATGGGCAGGTACTGGGAGTTCTTGAGCAAGAGCAGCACGTGAATATTGATGCATGAGAATATTAATTGGAAAGGACTGTGTAAAATAGAAGAAGAAAGGGGGAACAGAAACCTTATTAGGAAATGCTCACATAATTGCTGAGAATGATGATGCAGGCCTGGACCACAGAGGTCTGGCTACAGAAAGAGAAAGGAATACTTCATAGCTTGTCCCTCTTTTCATCCCAATGTGTGGAGGCAGACTCTTTTTTTCCATTAGATTTATCTCTTCCATCTTCCTATGTTGCAAACCAGGGGGCAACTGAGAGATAAGACAATCTCCATTTGCTCCAGTTTAGCAGGCACTGGTTTTTCCATTAAAGGATTGCACTCAAAATTTGGAGACACTTGCATGGACAGCGCCTAGAAACACAATTCCTTATTGTTTTGATTGTGGTTGCTTCTAAGGTAAAGACACTTTGAGGATAATATCTCTCTTGATAATATCAACTCTGACTTTATGATGGAGTAACCCTCAAAGCTAACATAAAGCGTAAGTGAAGTCACTATCAAGTATTCCCAGGGAACGGGCTGTAGAGACAACTACGATGATGTTAGATCTTTGCTCTCTTCCTCCAGAATCAGCAGACAGGCAGAAAGAAGTGTCTCTATTCTCACTTCCTACCTACACTTCTTGGTGACTACTGCTGGTGCTGCTCCTGCCACAAGCTGAATATTAAACATGCTTATTCATTTTTAGTCTTTTAGGCTACCTTTGAGGATTCATTCAGTAACACCTGATGTGAAAGACATTTCCTGTTGAATAATGGAAGGTTTGAGCACGAGAGACCCCCAGCAGTACTCTGGGTCCTTAGTTACTAGTCAGGCTTCAGGAGCCATTAATGCTAGTCAGAGTAACAAAATGTTGTCAAAAACCATAATTATTTTTCTGTAACACAGTATAAGCAAAACCTGAAATGCTTATTTGCACCTGGAATTTGACTGTTTTTTAAAAAGTGCTTTCCCACAAGAATAAGACATTTGATTTCATTTAAAAATTAAATTAAAAAATTTAATATACAAGTTACAAAAATTAGCCGGGGCTGGTGGCGTGAGCCTATAATCCCAGCTACTCAGGAGGCTGAGGCAGGAGAATCGCTTGAACCTGGGAGGCAGAGGTTGCAGTGAGCCGAGATGGCACCACTGCACTCCAGCCTGGGTGACAGAGCGAGACTCAGTTTCAAAAAAAATTAATATAGAAAAGATGTCTGTTCATTTGAAAATAAAATTCAAATGATGACAGATTAATAAAAAATAAAAAGTAAAATTAGGCCAGGTGCGGTGGCTCACGCCTGTAATCCCAGCACTTTGGAAGGCTGAGGCTGGCAGATCACTTGAGGTCACGAATTCAAGACCCACCTGGCCAACATGGTGAAACCCTATCTCTACTCAAAATACAAAAATTAGCCGAGTGTGGTGGCACACGCCTGTAATTCCAGCTACTTGGGAGGCTGAGGCAGGAGAATGGCTTTAACCTAGGAGGTGGAGGTTGTGGTGAGCTGAGATCGCACCACTGCACTCTAGCCTGGGCGATAAAGTGAGACTCCATCTCAAAAAAAAAAAAAAAGTAAAATTAATAAATTCATAAGTGTGGGGATACTTTTAAAAAATATTTTTTATATGAACTCCAGATAATATCCTCTCTCCAGAGTTAAAAAGTATGGGCTTATAATGCCTGGGTACTCAAAATGTGTTCTGGGGGCCATCTACACAGGCATTGCCTAGGAGCTTGTTAGAAATGCAATCTCAGGTCCCACTGCTGGCCTACTGAATCAGAATCTGCATTTTCATGAGTTCCCAGGTGATTTGTGTGCACATTCAAGTACCAGAAGCACTGAACTCACAGACTGAGGGGACAGTATTTTTACTAACACTAGCCCTTTGAAGGATATTCAGGTTGTTAAAGAATTGAAAGTAAAAAATAGATAAAAGTGGGAGGCAGAAAAATTAACTAATTCTTCCTACAGAACTATGTGTGAATGGGACCCAATTTTGGAACACATCACTAGAGAATCAGAACTTGGAGTGACCTGTTAAAGAGGTGTCACTCACAAGTAGGCCACCTCCCCTTGGTCCTTATAGTAATTACAAATAAGAAAATCATAGAAGCAGAAACTTTTAGAACTGAGGTGAACGGTAGAACTTGTAGTAGTTGGTGCACATGAGGTCTCGAGCCTCTGACTGGGTTTGTTCCCCCCAAATTTGGGTATGAAGTTAAAAATAAAAATGTTGGCTGGGCGTGGTGGCTCATGCCTGTAATCCCAGGACTTTGGGAGGCCGAGGCGGGTGGATCACCTGAGGTCAGGAGTTCAAGACCAGCCTGGCCAACATGGTGAAACCCCGTCTGTACTAAAAATATAAAAAATTAGCCTGGCGTGGTGGCGGGTGCCTGTAATCCCAACTACTTGGGAGGCTGAGGCAGGAGAATCTCTTGAACCCAGGAGGCGAAGGTTGCAGACAGCCGAGATGGCACCACTGCGCTCCAGCCTGGGCAACAGAGAGAGGCTCTGCCTCAACAACAACAAGAAAGTTGCAGGTGCAGTTAGGGCCTTGTATTCACAAGCTGTAGGGTCTTGAGCAAATTCCTTAACTTCTTGGGGTGTCAGTCCATAATCTGTATCATCAGGAAGCTCAGGTAAGTGTTCTGAAAACTGTATGGGAACCTGGAATGTTATCATGGCAGATTTCAAGGGTGAGTCCCAGTTTCATCCAATAATTGCATGTTGTGTGAGATAATATCACAACAGAGGGCGGTAGTCTGCTTGAAGTAAAGAAAAAGTGAGCTAATTAACTAAAGAATGTGCCATGATGTTTTCTACACTGTCCAGAGGAAACAGAGCCTCTGTTTCTGGTGTTCTAGTATAGATAGGAGATCATGGAGTTTCACTAAGGACCTGTGGAATGAATGCATGAAATACCAAGTTGGCGGGAGCAGTGACTCACACCTGTAATCCCAGCACTTTGGGAGGCCAAGGCGGGTAGATCTCCTGAGGTCAGGAGTTCAAGACCAGCCCAGCCAACATGGTGAAACCCCTGTCTCCACTGAAAAAAAAAAGAAATACTAAGTTGGGAAAAGTAAATTCATCAACATTCATTCATTCAACAAATATTTACTGAGTACCCTCCATGTGCCAAGCTGGCTAAGGACATAACGGTGAGCAAATGTACACACTGTCCCTGCCCTCACAGAGCTTACAATCCAATCAAATATTTGGTTTAATGTAAAATTGCATCTTTGCTAAATGCCACAAAAGAGCCGGGCAATGAACTGAGAGAGCTTGTTCTAGAACGATCTGACCTGGTCAGGGGAATCAGGGAAGACCTCCTGAGGAAGTGACCCTTGAGCTGAGAGCTGAAGAACGAGCAAGAATTAACGTGGGGACGAAGGGAGGAAAGAGTGTCCCGGGGTGAGAACACTGTGTGCACAGGCCTTCTGGCAGGAGGGAGTGTGTAGATTCATGGTGGTCAGAAAGGCCAGTCCCCTCTTTATCTGGTGGAGCGACATCATGAGGCTGGGGACAGCAGCCAGAGGCAGATCAGATCTGGTCCGGCCGTGTGCACCCAAGTTTGGTTCTCCTTCTCCTAGCACTGGGAGGCCACTGCAAGATCTCAGCCGTGATGGCGTGGGGGTGGTGGAGGATGTGTATTTTGCAAGGACTAGATCTGGATTTCAAAAAGATCACTCTGGCAGTAAAATGGAGTACAACTCAGGAACAGGAGGGCAGAGTGGCTGTTTGGAGAAAGGCAAGATAATTTTACAGTCTAGAAGAGAGCCTGGAAATGCTCCCTTCCACAGAAGTTCCAGCTCCTGCAGCCTAGTTCCGTCCTCATGCAACCTTCCTTCCGTGAGGTTCTGCCTACCAAGAGGGAAGGAGGAAGGACCTGTGCAATGAGCTTTAACCCGAGACAGAGAAAGTGAACAAACTGGAAGTCCAGCTGGCAAATGAGTCCTTTTTGTGTCCATATGAATGAGTTCGCCTAGGTGAAATAATTCAAAAGTGGTTTCTGAATTTGCAAGTTGAGAACTCAGCTCTGGATTCTTGGTGACCCCAAGTACAGGAGGCCTGAAAGGCCCTGTCTGAGAATATGCACTAGGCAGCTCCATCTCCTGTACTCACCTTTTAACTCCAGTTAAGAAGCTATCATGTACACCCCATCACTGAGAAGATGTGGAAAGTGAGGCCCAGAGAGGTTTAGTAACTTCTCCAACATCACACAGTAACTTTTAAGGGCCAGTCCCTGAACTGTCATCCTAAAACTCATTAGGTGTGTGATCCTTTCAAAATGCTCTACTGGCCGGCATGTTTAGGGATGAGTAATGGAGAGAGTCATAAAAACATACTTTTAAATTAAATTCTTTTTTTCAAATTTTCTGTACATTGTGCTTTAATTACCATCTCCAGCCCCAAGAGTAGAAGGGCTAAAGAAAGAATGGGCATTCAGTCTAAAGTCTTAACACTGACTACCTGAGCCTTCAACAATTTCTGGTATTAACATTATATAGCACTGCACCCAAGAAATTCACAGATGCTTTTAATGAGTGTTTCTGTATAGATAGCAGTGCCTTTATTTCTAGATTGAATTTCCAGGCATAACTGGAGAACTTAGACCCAGTTTCCAGCCTCCAAGAAAAATAAGTTCCTTTTGCTGCTAGCCCTCATCTGCTATTCTTTTTTTTTTTTTTTTTTTTTTGAGATGGAGTTTTGCTCTTGTCGCCCAGGCTGGAGTGCAATGGTGCTATCTCAGCTCACTGCAACCTCTGCCTCCCTGGTTCAAGCGATTCTCCTGCCTCAGCCTCCCGAGTAGCTGGTTTTACAGGCATGCACCACCATGCCTGGCTAATTTTTGTATTTTTAGTAGAAATGGGGTTTCACCATGTTGGCCAGGCTGGTCTTGAACTCCTGACCTCAGGTGATCCACAAGTCTAGGCCTCCCAAAGTGCTGGGATTACAGGTGTGAGCCACTGTGCCCGGCCTATTCTTTAAATTAACAAATATAAAAATTCAGTGACTGTTCCCAGCCTCTTACTGTACAGTTTCACTCTCTGCACTGTTCCTGTTTCCCCTTTGCTGCTACGTGGGTTTCCTGCTCTGACCATTTCTTTCATATGGTTTCCCTCACACCTCTGAGACTTTAGTGCTATTTCTGGGCTTTATTGCTGCATTGTCAGTTGTTTATTCTTTGTTCCACTGCCTGTTCCTTTGAGAGCAGCTGAGAAATCAAACCTTGGCCTTCATGTTGTTGGTAGAGATTTCACTTCATATTTGTAATAATTATTCATTTATGTTTTGAGAGATTTCCCCATCAGTTTTAAGATTGAACATTAGAAGTGATTTACTGTCAGCCAAAGTCAAATATAATGTGGTTTTCACAGGGTTTTGTTATTTTATCTTTCCAAGCAAGGTACAGCTTTATACACTCATGATTTTTGATTACCAAAATTCAGAAGTACGTTTGTGTTTAGCAGTTTTTACGAGAATCTTACAAGATCATTTTAAACTTTCATTAAAAGCAAGGAGAGGTCCAGAGGGCTTTGAGATTGCAGTTTGTCTGAAGCCCTTGACTTTCATTCAAATTGGCAGTCTCTTTTCCAAAAAGAGCATTATTCTCTCATCTTTAAAGTATGCTGGGTTTAGTCAGTTTGGATACTAAGCAAGTTATCAGGAGATTTCTCAAACATTAAGAAGAGAAAGCCAAGCCGTCTTACTCAACCCAGGGCCACAGCCTCCAGGGGTGTTGGTGAATAACAGTATAGTGTCCCTTCATTTTAATCTATTCCTGCCTGTGTTGACACTCTACTAGGACAACCAGATGAAAAGGGAAAAAGCTCGAGTTGAGGTACCAAAGTCTTTTGCCTACACAATGTTAGAGGGAAACAAAGTCTGACTGAAGTGTTCTGCTGTGTGGTAAATATTACTCTCTCCAGAGAACATGATTATAACTTCTCTAGAACCTGGAAAATGTACTCCCTGCCCCCTCTGCCCCGCCCCCAACCACCCACCAGGAGGGAATAAAGCACATTGTCTGGGAAATGGCTGAAATGCAGGCACAAAGTAGGTTTTCAGAAGCGGCTATGAGTTGAACCTGTTTTTATATGGGTCTAAAAATCTCCCAATTTAGTCTGTTTAGTTATTGAAGGATTGCTATTGTGTTTGCAAGCATCACTGACTTTTACATCTTCTTATTGGTTCTTCTTTGGGTATCAAATCTTCGCATTTGGAGGAATGTATTTTTTAAATAAAGCGAGGCACAGCAGCCCTTAGTAGAAAGCAAAATGGTCTTCAAACTGCCTCTAGGCCATTTCCATGAGGATATCTTGACCCATAAGTGGCTTCCGAATTTCTGTATATGAGGGGCTAGTTGATAGGATGTTTGAAGCTGTGTTTACAGATGATCAGAAAACTGTCACTCATCCATATCAAAGGAGAGGAAGTTATGGAAGTCCTAAACCCATTAATCCACCCTTTAGCACTGCCCAAACCCAGACTTCACTTCAAATTAAGCACATTAAAAATGGAGTTCATATTTTCTCCTAAAAATCAGCTTCTTGGCCTCCCTTCCCAACTTCCTCACCTGTTTAAGGCAGTATTTTCCTTGTCAGGTTAGAAACATTATAACTATCTTTGTTCTCCTACCTAGCTTCCTCCTTCCCAATACCCAATTAATCATCAAATTCTATCATTTTTTCCTTAATAATGTCTTGAAAATTTTCCTCCATTCTTTATATTCCAGCAAAACAGAAACAGAAGGTGAGGATCCAGCTCTCCAGTCTGGATGGGGAGACTAGAAACACACTACATACAAGTGAAAAAAATTTCATAGGAATTACAAGAATACCAAAACAATGCAAAATAACAGCTCCAAACAAGCCTTGTATACACATCTCCAGGCAATAGCTGGCACTGCATTTGTCCAGTAGTAATCTAGGGCAGTGGGTGGGGAGGTCCTTCTGCTGCGCAGGGGCTGTGGTGAGGCCTTTCAGGTCCAGCTTAAGCCACTCTGATTCCAGCCACCACCCCACCTTAGATGGGCAAGCTGTTCCTTTCCAGATCAACTCATCTCCACCCACAACACAGTGCTTATGTATTCAGTCTAAAATAGCACAATTTATCAAGAGTATTCCATCGTAATTTTAAAATGTCGTGTTTATATTTTACCTCCACCTGGACAGAAACTCGTTCCTTTGTATTCTTACTGCCCCTCCACCTCCCCATAGCAACCAGCACAAGATTCCACCGTGTGTAGTCTATAAATAAATGTTAAATCATAGAGCCTTAGAATTTTGGAGTCAGACGGGGATCTTCAGAGTTGCATTTGTCCAGTCCTTTATAGATGGGGAAACAGGTCTAGAGAGATTAGGTGACTTGCTCAAAGCCACACAGCTGGCTATTGACAAGGCAAGGAGCAGAGCCCAGGTTTCTCCTGCCTGAAGTCTGTACCCTGAACTGTCCTTAGATAATCAGTGACAGACACCTGAGTTCACACAAGGTCTCCAGGGGTTGATGGTGATAGGAGAAACTGGCTTTCCCAAAACATGTACAAAGATTCGGTCCACGCCCCTAGCAGACCTTCGGGAGGACTAACTCCTCAGCTCGGCGTCCAGCAGAGTCCCAAGTTACAGTCGCACTTGTTTATGCGTCTGTCGGCCTCCTCCGACAGGACCGAGTACTCGAGGGCCCCGCGCTCAGGGGCTCCCCTCCGGCCCCTCCCCCGCCGCCGAGCTGTCACACAGCCGCCGCGCGGCCCGCCCCCACGTGGACTGGGCTCGGAGGATCAAAGTCTGTTTGCAGACTTTGCAGCCCGGCCCCCGCAGGTGTGCTGGGAGTTGCGATGGTCCGCAGGCCAGGACTCCGCCACACCCGAGGGGACCCGGCCAGCCCCTCCCCCTCCCGCTGCACGCGGCCCGCGCCCCCAATTCGCCCGCCGCTGCACCCGGCCACGGCCCCCCGGCCCACGCCCGGCTCCGGGAGGAAAAGGCCCCGCCCCTATCTGTTGGAGCCGCGACCCCGCCCCCTTCCCGCCCCTCCGAGGCTCCATCCAATAGTGAGCGTGGCTGGGCGGGACGCCGAGGCTGTCGTGAGGGGGTCCTGACCAATGGGGAAGCGTGCCGGGCCTGGTGGGCGGGGCGGCAAGGCCTTGTCACGCTCGGGTCCGTGTGAAAACGGGGGTTCCGAGTGCAAAGCAAAGTTTTTTTGTAAACCGTCTGCAAAGGCGGGGGGGCGAAGAAGGCGCCCGAGACCGGGCCGAGTGCAGCTGCCGTGGCCGCCGCCTCTCTAGCTCCTCAGCCATCCGCTCCTCAGTCCAGCCGCCGCAGAGGAGACCAGCAAGCAGAGCCCTCAGATGCTCGGAGCTTTCTCGGCGCGAAGCTGCCCGTCGCCCTCTCCTGCCGCCCTCGCCCGCCGCCCTCCTGCTCCTGCTCCGGCTGCGGCTCTTGGTACCCCGGCTCCGGGAGCCCAGCTCCCCGCCACCGCCGCCGCCTGGGTGTGGGGGCTGCTGAGGCTGAGCCGGGCCTCGGCGCCGGCTCTGAGGACGGACGCCTGAGGAGCTGCGCGGCGCGGCGCCGCCGGCTGGCGGAGAACGCCCACAGGCGCGGGGCTCGGCGGCTTGACCCGGGCTTGTCCCCGTGCGGCCGCGGGGGCCCCTCAGCGGTTTCCCGAACGGCCCGACTCGGGCGCTCCTCCGTGTCGCGGTCGCCGACCCTCCGCGTCCCGCCAACGCCGCCGCTGCACCAGTCTCCGGGCCGGGCTCGGCGGGCCCCGCAGCCGCAGCCATGGGGTGTTGGGGTCGGAACCGGGGCCGGCTGCTGTGCATGCTGGCGCTGACCTTCATGTTCATGGTGCTGGAGGTGGTGGTGAGCCGGGTGACCTCGTCGCTGGCGATGCTCTCCGACTCCTTCCACATGCTGTCGGACGTGCTGGCGCTGGTGGTGGCGCTGGTGGCCGAGCGCTTCGCCCGGCGGACCCACGCCACCCAGAAGAACACGTTCGGCTGGATCCGAGCCGAGGTAATGGGGGCTCTGGTGAACGCCATCTTCCTGACTGGCCTCTGTTTCGCCATCCTGCTGGAGGCCATCGAGCGCTTCATCGAGCCGCACGAGATGCAGCAGCCGCTGGTGGTCCTTGGGGTCGGCGTGGCCGGGCTGCTGGTCAACGTGCTGGGGCTCTGCCTCTTCCACCATCACAGCGGCTTCAGCCAGGACTCCGGCCACGGCCACTCGCACGGGGGTCACGGCCACGGCCACGGCCTCCCCAAGGGGCCTCGCGTTAAGAGCACCCGCCCCGGGAGCAGCGACATCAACGTGGCCCCGGGCGAGCAGGGTCCCGACCAGGAGGAGACCAACACCCTGGTGGCCAATACCAGCAACTCCAACGGGCTGAAATTGGACCCCGCAGGTGAGCCGGGAAAGTCGCTGCCGCAGGTGGTTGGGTTTGGGGTGCCCAGAGCCTCGCCTGGCCTTCGGCGGGGTGGCCCGCACGCCCCCTGCTGCCCGAGCGGGCCTGCGCCGCGCCGCCCCTGCCTGCTCCCTCCCCGTCCTGCACACGCCCCGCTGCTGCTCCAGGAAATCAGAACCCCCTCAGTCGGGTGCAAGGAGCCGGCGACGCGTCTGGCATATTTGTAGGTGGGGGCTGTGGGTCAGACCCTAAGAAAAAGGGTCAGGAGGTGATCATCATCCCGCTGCAGTCCACACCCGCACTTGGCTGTCTTTACAGGCTGCAGCAACTTTGCTGGAGACTTGTCTGGTTATGGTTATAACAGCGTCAGAAATGCTTCCCAATTCAATTCCTTGGCCCTCTTGGGAAACGGAGAGAATCCCCAATTCGTCCCCAGTAGTTGGGTGCTGGAAACCTTGCTCTGCCAAAGTAGTTCTTATGCCCATTGAACTCCGTTTCATAATATGCATTCAGAGCGTGTAAACCCTGGTTAAAGGTTTCTTTTATGAACAGCAGTGTATGCTTCAGCTAATTGATCCCTAATCCTGGAAATCATAGATTTAGGACCTGTCTGGGCATGTTTAACATTTTCCCAGGACTTTTCATAATCGTACTGAACTAAAAGTGATGGTAATTTATTCATCTTATATTTTTAGTGGATGCTTTTTATATTTAACATTAAGTGCTCTTGAAGGAAATTTGAAAATAAATGTTGAAAGAAAGGAGATGGAAATGACTCAACCAGTGTCCTACTACCCAAGCTCAATGGTGCTTAACAATTTGGTCTTATTTCCTTCACTTACGTTTATTTACCTTGTATCATTATAAATTATGCTACATAATTTTCCTTTTCGAGTGCAGAATATGAAGTTAGTGAAATTCAAGTTGTACATTGGAAAGGTTTAATAAGTAATTGGTTTTCCTCTCACTCCACTCGGCAAGGTGTTATTCCAAAGAAAATTAAGTTTCTCTGGTGTGTAATTTCAAAAGATCAATACTTTTTATCTTTTTGAATACTTTTGATCAATACTTTTTGAAAAGATCAATACTTTTGATTTAAAAGTTAGTAGGGCAGGTAGTCATTTAGTTTCAATTTTTCTAATAATCTCTGTGATTATTGATTTTTATTGTTGATTTGTCAGTTTTTAAACCCCCCTACCAAGAAACTTTTATATTCATAATAAAAGTTTAAAAGTTAAAATTGGTTTTATTCTCAAGCAATTGGCCTCAGTGACAAAGAGTGACTAGAGAGTGCCCGAGTGTCAAATCAGGTATTTTGTATTAGTAGACTTATTCCTAGCTGCATTTAATTTTGGTGTTAGCATTCAATTTTATGTTTTCCTTTGTATATACCATAAAGTATAGCAGAATGGTTGCAGGACTCCACCCCCATAGAAAATATACACTATTTTGGAGAGGAGGAGGCAGGAGAGTGGTTAGGAGGGTGAAGAAGCAGTATCACAATGACTTAATTTAGCCCTGGCTATTATGTCCTGGCTCATTCCCAGAATGTCAATTTATATTAAATTGCTCTGAGCACATTTTTTTAATTGTACTTTCTGAAAAAATTTTCACCTTCATCACCACTTAAAAAGAATTAGACAAGGATGTTTATATAAACACTTTAAATGTATTTGATATAAAATTTTTATTTCTTTGTAGACCCAGAAAACCCCAGAAGTGGTGATACAGTGGAAGTACAAGTGAATGGAAATCTTGTCAGAGAACCTGACCATATGGAACTGGAAGAAGATAGGGCTGGACAACTTAACATGCGTGGAGTTTTTCTGCATGTCCTTGGAGATGCCTTGGGTTCAGTGATTGTAGTAGTAAATGCCTTAGTCTTTTACTTTTCTTGGAAAGGTTGTTCTGAAGGGGATTTTTGTGTGAATCCATGTTTCCCTGACCCCTGCAAAGCATTTGTAGAAATAATTAATAGTACTCATGCATCAGTTTATGAGGCTGGTCCTTGCTGGGTGCTATATTTAGATCCAACTCTTTGTGTTGTAATGGTTTGTATACTTCTTTACACAACCTATCCATTACTTAAGGAATCTGCTCTTATTCTTCTACAAACTGTTCCTAAACAAATTGATATCAGAAATTTGATAAAAGAACTTCGAAATGTTGAAGGAGTTGAGGAAGTTCATGAATTACATGTTTGGCAACTTGCTGGAAGCAGAATCATTGCCACTGCTCACATAAAATGTGAAGATCCAACATCATACATGGAGGTGGCTAAAACCATTAAAGACGTTTTTCATAATCACGGAATTCACGCTACTACCATTCAGCCTGAATTTGCTAGTGTAGGCTCTAAATCAAGTGTAGTTCCGTGTGAACTTGCCTGCAGAACCCAGTGTGCTTTGAAGCAATGTTGTGGGACACTACCACAAGCCCCTTCTGGAAAGGATGCAGAAAAGACCCCAGCAGTTAGCATTTCTTGTTTAGAACTTAGTAACAATCTAGAGAAGAAGCCCAGGAGGACTAAAGCTGAAAACATCCCTGCTGTTGTGATAGAGATTAAAAACATGCCAAACAAACAACCTGAATCATCTTTGTGAGTCTTGAAAAAGATGTGATATTTGACTTTTGCTTTAAACTGCAAGAGGAAAAAGACTCCACTGAAATTCTAAGTTTGCCAAGTAGTGTAATTGAAGTCCTTGTCTGGTCACACAGTTTAATTCTATTTTTGTAAGAACATAATGGGACTGCATAACAGAGTTCTATATTACAATTTTGTGATTATTAGTACAGAGTACAGCTATGCTGTGACTGTTTTGGAAAGCCAGTTTTAACACTATGTTACATTTTTGTTTAAAGTAAGTTAAACCTTATATAACATAATGACATTTGATTTCTGGATTTTTCCCATGATAAAAATTAGGGGGATAAATAAAATTGTTACTGGAATTTCTCTGCTTTTCTTTTCCCCCAGTGTTATACTTTATTAGAATTATAATTGATAGAACTTTAAAATCATCAACAGTTTGTTTCCTTTGACATTTTAGGTGATATTGCCCTTTGAGATCATTACATAGCATAATGGCAGCATATTTTAAGAGTGACTCATGGCTATTAGTAGGAAATAAGATCAGTTACTATCCTGTATTCTGTATTGCTGGCTATTAAACAGTAAGATAATTAACAAATTGAACTACAGTTTACACACAATGGGGCAAATGGGGTAGTAAGAGCAAGGAAGAAAGTTTACCAAACTAAATATTTAGGTTATTGTATGATAATATTGAGACTACATTTCTAAATTATTTTGAGAATTTCAACTTTTTATTCTACCAAAGTTAATCTGAAACTTGGACATGTTCACCAGCATTACTTTCTTTGAAAGATTGGTATAAAAACATTGAGCTGCAAGTTTATTTACAAAATATATAAGTATTTTTAAGGATGTTGACACCTAATAATTACATGCTAAACGCAAACGATTAATGTAATCTTTTAAACCGGGCGTTTGAAAAAAAATTTTCAAGGTCATTTCATGATAACCAATCATGAATGGATTTAAATGGAGCTTTTTGAGCACAACCAGCAATGTTTGTGCTTTCTAAGAGTCACTGACTTGAGAGGAAAGAAAACCAGAAGGTTAATGCAGTTTGGATATTAAATTCTTAGCAAAATTAATAATTAAAGCAAAATTAATTAAGATTTTGTAAGTCATCCTGTCTTCACATACTCAGATCTTCCAATAGTGGCTTATTTTGCAAGATGCCACAATATCTACACAGAAAATTGTGGCTATTTCATTATTGCTATAGATTTCAAATCCAACACAAATATTTAAGGGTGTTTAAGTTATATTTTTCTTGATAGAGGGTATGCTTTGTGACAAAATTAGATTTTTGTCCTTGAAAGGATTAATATTAGCATCAGTTATGTATAGCTCTATTTTTCTAGAAACAAGGTATTCTGACTACTTTTATAGCTGACTACTTTTGGGATGGCTACGTTTTGGGATTTAAAATAGTTCATTGTTTAATGGGTTGTAAGAGGAAAAAGTGTTAGGATTTGACAGTTACTTTTTAAAGGGATGATCTTTTGTGGTGTGTGTTTTTCCTAGTATAAGCCTATTGCTGGCGATGGGCCTATTTAAGAACAGCTGATTTTTTCCAGTGAAAATATGGTAATTTTAGGAACACAGTTTGTAAGTTCACATTTACTATAATGGGCCAAAACCATAACCTGCCAGTTTGCAATACATCTTGATCTTTTAATATTCTTATCTGATATTGTGTAATTCAATTCCTAAACTGATAGTTACCTTGAATTTTGCGAAAAGGTTTGGGTGGTTTTTTTTAAACATGAAATTGAGGGATCTCATCTGGGCGAACAAGAAGAGAAAGCTGTGAATTGTACTGTATCATGTACATTCCTGATTTAATACTTTACAGAACATTTTATTCAGATATCAATTTGTTACATAAACATTTCAGCAATGATACAAAGATAACTGATAAAATATATTACATTCAATGAGGTTTTCTTTACAAATGCTCTACTTGAGGTCTGTGTCTTAAAGATGGCATGACACCTAAGTACAAGACATCAACTGAATGAGGATTTTAAAAAATGGTATATAAGCATAGGACAAGGGCTATGTTTGTTTGTTTTTCAAAAGTGCTTTGAAGATAACAGCCTTTAGGTTTGAGTTATTTCACTTTTCATAATTTTTAAGTAGCTTATATATAATGGTGGTACCATAGGATTTTCTTTTTTCAAATGACTGTCGGCAGAAACAGTGGGCACTGACTCACCTTTTGAGTTTTAGCAGAGAATTATTTATTTCTTTACAATGCACTTTCTAACCCATTGTAGCTATATTAGCATTATCTTTTAAAAAAGACATGCTTTTGTATTTAAATATTGTAGGATTTAAGTGTCTTTCTCAAAATAGCTTATTCCTTTCTGAAAGAAAATGAGGGAAATACTCTGAATTATTAGGAGACTTAAACCCAATATTTAAATATGCTATTTTATAACACTGCATCAGTTTTAGGAGTTGCATCTCTCCTGCTGGCTCTTTTATATTTGAGCAAGATCAGTGTAGAATATGTGTTTAGAAACTTGTCTGTTGTCTCAGTTTAGTGAAAAGGAGGTGCTGCATGTGCCTGAATTAAAACCAAGAAATTTTTCCAAGCCAAATGCAGCCTTAGTGATGAGAGATTTAATTCTCCATTGTCACCTTTTAGCTTTTATGATTGCTTAGTTTTTTCTGAAGGATGTCTGCATTGTAAAACTATGGACTAAAACCTAAAAAACAGAATCCTCAAAAACTTTGCTGTATGTGTTTTAACATTTTAGAGAACAGTATGTTGAATAACTAAGGTATGTAACTTGAATAGGAAAAATGTCCATCAAATGCACCTTGGAAAATCACAGTAGGTAGAAGGCTGTGTTAACCGTTTGTGTCTTATTAACATCCTTAAGTTAATTTTGAATTTTTGACAGTTTTGAGGGAAAAGACCTATGGAACCTAATGTGAAGTATTTCGTATGTTAACTGGTGTTGAGTTGAAGATTTTTACTGTGTATAAGCAGATATCATTTGAATGATAAAAATGTCATTAACCTGCTGTCTTAAGATGTTCACACAAATATGGAGAGTAATTCTACAATATAAAAATATTTATTTTAATACTGAGTTTCAGTTAAGTCATAAACAGTGTTAAAACTCTTGGGAAGGTGTAGGGGTTTTTTGTTTGTCATTTTTAAAATTGAAACTGTGTCATACAGTGTTTCACGTCTCTGAAATTGGGATTATAATAGCACTATTTTGATGTAGCTCTACCGATACTATGTGGTAATGCTATTTTGTTTTACTAACAAGCTCTGGAATATTTAGCAGTCATTTTCACTGGCACAAGAGCCTTTTGTATGTTATTCAATTTAAACTTTTAAACCAAAAATTTTATGGTCCAGTGTCTTTGGCAAAAAGATGCTGGAGGGAATGTAACATACAATTAATATGTGGTTATATATATATATAAAAAGACACAAATTGCCATGTTATGGTTCTGCCTTGAAACAGCACAATGAAGTGTATCAGTATATTCTGTGATTATGAAACTTATATGTTGTGTTGTTTTGTGTCTTCTGTTGCCTGTCCTTTGGGCCAGATGTGGGCCAGTTAAATGCAGTTATCATCTCATTAAATACAGATGCAGATAAAATATCTTTAGTGCTGCAACATTTTACCTAACTTTTTGTATGTTTTCATGACTGTGTGTTATTTTCCAAAGCTGTTCCTACCTCACCATGAGGCTTTATGGATTGTTATGTATTATAAATGTTCTATATGAGACAGACTACTGTGTTTCTTCTCATTTATTAAAAGTTAAGTAGAAAAATAAACTAATTTTAATATCTACTTCATTTGTGCATATGGCCTCCCCTCCGATACTAGGCTTAGTTACACAGAGAGTTGGATTTCAGATAATTGAAAGAGAAATTTCAGTTTAACACAAATGTTGCAAGTGTACAGAGTGACTAGGTTACAAGATGGGTGTGGAAGAAAATGTAAGCAAAAATTGCAATTAAAAATTGAAAGGGTAACACTGCAAAGGCTCACTAATATGAAATACTCAGTGGCTTTGAATTTTATTATAAGCATTAAGCTTATAGATTATATAGTTGTGGTTAACCTGCTGCTTTTGGCACTTGCTATTTTTTTATTTATAAGCATAGTTACTAATAAGGTTTATTAAATATTTTACACCTGTAAATCATCTAAAATTCTTAACGCAATAGTATATTATTGTGGTTCTATGAGCCTCAGGACTATCACAAATGTAGTTTCATAAAAAAATTCATTAAAGAACTTGTATTTTGGGCTGTGAGACAACAGTTGAAAAAATCAACTGACAATAAATGGCAGTAGATAAAGGAATTGATCTATATACAGTAGATATTCCAAAGAAGAGGTAAAAAAAAATTTGGAAAGGATATGTAGGTTAAAGTGGAAAGGAGTAGGGTTTGAGAGGCAAGGGAGCAGGAATAGTGGTATAAAGAATTGGGGGTCTGGGCAGGGTGGCTCATGCCTGTAATCCCAACACTTTGGAAGGCTGAGGTGGGTCAGATCCACTTGAGCTTAGGAGCTCGAGACCAGCCTGGGCAACATGGCAAAACCAGGTCTCTACCAAAAAAATAATAATACAAAAATTAGCCAGGGCTGGGCATGGTGGTTTACTCCTGTAATCCCAGCACTTTGGGAGACTGAGGTAGGTGGATCACTTGAGGCCAGGAGTTTGAGACAAGCCTGGCCAACATGGGGAAACCCCATCTCTACTAAAAATACAAAAATTAGGCAGGTGTGGTAAATTAGCATGCCTGTAGTCCCAGCTACTCAGGAGGCTGAGGTGGGAGGATCACTAGAGCTGGGGAGATGGAGTTTGCAGTGATCCGAGATAGTGCCACTGTACTCCAACCTGGGTGACAGAGCCCAACCCAGTCTCAAAAAAAAAAAAAGGTTAAAAAGTTAAGGGGTTGAGAGGTATAAAGAGATTATAAAGGTTAAAAGTGCCATGACAACTAGTTTAAATTTGGTTTCATAGGAAAGGACGACACTACCAATTTCACTATCAATAATTTTTTGAGTAGATAAATAAGAAAGTGGGAAAGGTACTCTACATATTTGGAATGACATGTAGGCAAAGTGAGACAGGAAGACAAATCAGTTTACCAGATAATTCAATGCTAAAAGTCAAATACACATGTCCACATGTACATATACTACATTTCAATTGATTCCACACACACATTCTTCTTATATTTTAGCATTTCTGAAATCAGAATGCATAGTACAATCAGTGGTATCTTATGATTGCCATTGGCCAAACTTTTTTCTTATCTCGATGTGTCTATTGTTCAGGGTTCAGAAAACAATTATCTTCCCAGGCAATATGGTCTTTCAAAAGATTATATGACAATATTCCCTGAAATTTCATGTACTATGCATTGCACATTTAGATGAAAGCTGTTCCTTGAATTGGATAAAAATAATTTAAAAAGTCAAGTAACATTGCTTTTAAATAAATTTCATAGACAATTCTGAGCCTTCAGAATTGACCATCATTTTCCCCCCCACTACTCTATTCAGCCTTTTTTGTTGTTGAGTTTTGCTCTGTCGACCTGCTGGACTGCAGTGGCGCCATCTCAGCTCACTGCAACCTCCGCCTCCTGGGTTCAAGGGATTCTCCTGCCTCAGCCTCCCAAGTAGCTGGACTACAGGTTCGCGCCACTACGCCCAGCTAATTTTTTGTATTTTTAGTAGAGACAGGGTTTCACCATGTTGCCCAGGCTGGTCTCGAACTCCTGAGCTCAGATGATCCACCCCCTACAGCCTCCCAAAGTGCTAGGATTTCAGGCGTGAGCCACCACACCCAGCTCAGCCTTTTTTCTTTTAAAACAAGTAATTTGTGGCACTTTGTTCTTATTTTAAAACCAGTTTCACTTCTAGATTATAAACTCTATTCGGTCAAGACTATGTCTTTTCCATATTTATTTCCTAAGGATATAGCACAGGGACCAGCACATTGCAGGTATTTAAAGTTGTCTGGAATATTTAGGAATGGCAGGAATGGAAAAAGATATACAGTAGTTACACTATTAATAGATAAGATACACTGAGTACTAACTTTTTTTTTAATTTTTATTTTTTTTGAGAGAGGGTCTGACTCTGTCGCCCAGGGTGGAGTGCAGTGGCGGGATCTTGGCTCACTGCAATCTCTGCCTCCTGGGTGCAAGCGATCCTCCCACCTCAGTCTCCTGAGTAGCTGGGACTACAGGTACCCGCCAACATGCCTGGCTAATTTTAGTATTTTTTTTTTTTTTATAGAGATGAGGTTTCGCAAATATACTGGGCACTTCTGATCACTTATTACTGAGCACTTACTACATATCAGGGCACATATGCTTTCATGTATCCTTACAACCCATTAGGTGTATTCCTTTATTCCCTTTATTTTACAGACAAACAGATATTAAAGCACCTTACCCCAAGTCATATAGTCAGTGATGGAGCCAGAACTGGAACTCAGCAAAAGATCTAGTCCTCTGCAAGTCACTTGCATTCCCACAACTTTGGACTTTTCAACAACCCACTTAAGTAAATTCAGAATGAAGAGTTCTTTCTAATTTTCATCCAATGAGCAGCAATAGACAAAGCATAGGCACTGAGTACTAGCAAAGGAGGGGCATTAAAAGAAATAAGAAAAGTAATTTTTATACAAAAGTGAGCCGGGCATGGTGGTAGGCACCTGTAATCCCAACTACTCAGGAGGCTGAGGCAAGAGGATCCCTTGAACTGGGAGGTGGAGGTTTCAGTGAGCTGAGATTGTGCCACCGCACTCCAGCCTGGGTGACAGAGCAAGACTTTGTCTAATAAATCAATAAGTACATAAAATAATTTTCAGAGCATTTAATATTTATTAAAAAAAACAACAAAATAGTCAGAAATCAGAACTTTCTTACCTAAATTAGACCTTCTTAAATTATGGTTTAGTACCATTTATTTTTAATTACATAAGGGAGAGAAATTCCAATTTTTTAAAGGATTTAGGGCCTCTCTTGGTTTTAATCCAGCCTTGTGGACAAGTACCATTCTTTACAAACTAGTACTGTTTTCACATAATATTGTCTGGCTGGCTTAAATATCTTTAGGGTTACACTGAAAACAGTGCATCTTTGGGGGGCAGAGGTGATTGAGGTAAATGTGGATGAGGAGTCAAAGGGAGAAGACCATCCACTTTTCAACAGGGGTGCTGTTAGCATTTGCGTGAGACCATTCATCAGTGCAGAAATGTCCCATGCATTGAGTTTAACAACTCTGGCTTACTTCCACATGAATGCCTGTAGCTATCGTTTTTCCCTCCCCATTATCAAGACACCCCAACTGTTTCAAATGTGTCCTAGAGAGGCAGTATTGCCATGCCAGAAACCATAGATGGCTAACCCAGCGGGTCCTCTTTCAGTGTCTCCCACAGGAACCAGACACTACATCTAGTCCCCTCTTTTTACATAGATATTTGTGTTTTGTATGAACATCAGTTCCATCTTTAAGTCCAGGAACTGTGATTCCATGCCTTGATAGTCAAATTGAAACTCTGAAGTTTTGACTTCTGAGGTTCATAACCTTTGATACAATGATCACTATAGCACAAGGTAGCCAGGAACTCCTCTGATCTGTTAGGAAGATTGTTCTGCCCAAGAAAACAGTGCAGGTATGGCCTTCTGAATTGGCCATGGAAACCCTGGGTTAGCTCTATTGAAATATAAAGTAAAAATGGGTTTCTGGCTTTATAAAAGAGGTTCAAAACCAGGGCCTTCTATTAAAATACAAATTTAAATATTTGCATCAAAACTTAGGGCCAGACGCGGTGGCTCATGCCCATAATCCTAGCACTTTGGGAAGCAAAGGCAGGTGGATCACTTGAGCCCTGAAGTTTGAGACTGGCCTGGGCTCTTCTTTCTTCTCTTTACGTTTTCTCTTTTTGTCCCAGTTAGAGTCTCCCGAGGAACAAAGCTCTTCTGATGCCTGTGTTTATTCCATAGACTCATTTTGGACTTACGATCTCCAGCACTTTAAAATAATAAATTTGTCCTGTTTTAAGCCACTAAAGTTGTGGTAATTTGTTTCAACAGCAATAAGAAACTGATATACATATATTCTAGCTTAAACACTAAATTTTTATATTATTATTACGATGATTTCTCTCTTTTAGAGTTCAATTGTAAATGGTGGTATAACAGTTTTCTTTTGTTGTTGTTGTTGTTGTTTTTTGAGACAGGGTCTCAATCTGTAGCCCAGGCAGGAGTGCACACTGGTGCGATCTCCTCTCACTGCAGCCTCACCTCCCGGGTTCAAGCGATTCTCCCACCTCTAGTCTCCTGACTAGCTGGGACCACAGGCATGCACCACCATGCATGGCTAATTTTTATATTTTTTTGGTAGAGATGGGGTTTCACCATATTGCCCAGGCTGGTCTTGAACTCCTGATCTCAAATGGTCCTCCTGCCTCAGCATCCCAAAGTGCTGGGATTACAGGCAGGAGCCACTGCTCTGGTGGTATAACATTTTGTTTAATGCTTATGCAACAGTTTATGTTGCATAAGTAAGTTCATGAAACATTGATTTGTGGTTTTAAGGTAGGAAGGAGAGGTTAAGGTTAAATAGTGAAATACAACAAGCAATTTTCTTTATACGTGTGGTCGTGTGGTGAGATACCAAGCTTAAGGGGCAAATCCTTAAGGGATTTGGTGGGAGCCCAAGCTTCCTCAATGAGCCCCAGTCTGAACTCAGAGCTCCCGTGAGAACTCCCTCATCCTCTGTATTAGAGACAGTCATCCTGAAACCTCCTGAGGCCTCCTGAGATGTCTGTGAAGTGGCATTCACCATAGCAGGCTCTTCTTAGATTTTCTTTTTTGTCCCATTTCAAGTCTGCCCCCTCCTCCTTTCGTCCTTGGTCCTTTATCCTGTACTTCCAATCCCCACGCCTATTAGGCATAAGACCTTGGCAGGTTGGTTACCTCTTGGACTCTCAGTTTTCAAGTCTGTGAAATAGGGAAAACGCATCCTTTATGGAATGCATTGCAAGGATTACATGAAACCAAAAAATCTTCCAATCCCCTTGTGAGGATTACATGAGACAAAAAACTAAAATTTATCTACCACATAATGTGTCCCAGAACTGTGCTAAATGTTTTAGCCCATGTAATCCTCACGATCCCTCTGTGAATTAAATACTATTATTATTATTTTTTCTCTTTGTTTTTGTTTTTTTTTGTTTTTTGTTTTGAGATGGAGTTTTACTCTTGTCACCCAGGCTGGAGTGCAGTGGCACGATCTCGGCTCACCGCAACCTCCACCTCCCGGGTTCAAGTGATTCTCCTGCCTCAGCCTCCCAAGTAGCTGGGATTACAGATGTGCGTCACCACGCCCAGCTAATTTTGTATTTTTAGTAGGGACAGGGTTTCTTCATATTGGTCAGGCAGGTCTCGAATTCCATGACCTAAGGTGATCCACCCGCCTCAGCCTCCCAAAGTGCTGGGATTACAAGTGTGAGCCACCGCGCCTGGCCTCTTTGTTATTTTTTTACTTTTTATTTTATTTTATTTTTTGAGACAGAGTTTCGCTCTTTCGCCCAGGCTGGAGTGCAGTGGCACGATCTTGGCTCACTGCAACCTCGGGCCACCGGGTTCAAGCAATTCTCCTCCCTCAGCCTCCTGAGTAGCTGGGATTATAGGCACCTGCCACCACGCCCGGCTAATTTTTGTATTTTTCTTTTTTTAGTAGAGGCGAGGTTTCGCCATATTGGCCAGGCTGTTCTCAAACTCCTGACCTCAGGTGATCCACCCGCCTCAGCCTCCCAAAGTGCTGGGATTATAGGTGTGAGCCACCACCCCCAGCCTGTTTTTTTTTTTTTACTTTTAAATGGATTATTAACTCCAATTTATAGGTAAGGAAATTGAGGATAAGATAATTGAGTGACTTCCGTAGAACAGGTAAGTGGAGAACCAGGATTTGAACCCAGTTCTGTCTTCACACGGTCTGTGCTCTGAGCTCTGGCATTAACTCTGTAGAGTACCTGGCACAGGCCCCAATCAATGGGGGCACCACACATTCAGCAACATTCACCACACATTCAGCAAGTGTGTAGTCCTAGAGTCAGACTGCCTGGGTTCAAATTCCAGGCTCACTGACTGTGACCTTGGGTAAGGTACTTAAACTTTCTGCCTTATTTCCTTATTTGAAAAATGAGGATAATAATAGTAATTCTCTTAGAGGGTTATCCTAAAGATTAAATGAATCAATATAAGTAAAGCAGTTTGAACAGTGCCTGCTCCTTATTAAGTGCTCAATATATGTTACCCATCTATTTTATTCCCTTCCTATTTCTTTCTTTCCCCCTTATTTCCTCTCTTCTCTTTTCTCCTTCTTCTCCTCTCTCTCTTCCTAAGCCCAATTAGTGATCCTTAAGACCTTGATTAATCCATTTCCCTTCAATGGTACCACACTTCTCTCTCTTTTAAAAAATCATTAGTCTTCTTTTACTCCCAGGTAACTCTAGTTACAAACACTACCTGCAGAAGATAGGGGTGTCTTGAGGGCAAACAGGTGTTTACCTAGTGATCTATTATGGGATTTGTACTTTTATGAGGAAAGAACTTGGGGAGGAAAAGCAGTAGCTTGTTTCCTTTAGAGAAATGGTTGTAGCTCAAAACAAGAAGAACATTGCAACAATTTGTGTGGGCTGTGGAAGGAATGGGTGGTTAGGTGTTCCCGTCACCAACAGTGTTTGGGCACATGCTGCCTGCCCTCTTGTCGCTGGAATCCTTGGTGGTGATTTCTGCTAAGGGCAGAGCTTGGACCTGATAACCTCTTGAGACCCTTCCGGCTGAAATGGGAGATTTTATGAGAAGTCCTTTTAAGGGGCAGTGGTGTGGCACAGTGGAAAGAATCCTGCACAAGGCGCCCAGATGCTTGGGTCCTGGTCCTTGCTCTTCCCCTAACTGTAACCATGGGCAAGTTGGTTTTCCTCTTTGGGCCAGTTTACCCATCTGTAAAATGAGGGGTGGAACTCATATTTCCCTCCCCTGCCCATGATTCACCCTGACAGACTCTCCACTCCATCAATCACTCAGTCACATCCAACAAATGAGTGAAAGTGGGCGAGAGCAAGATGGTCGCTCCCAGGAATCATAGATAGGGCCTGAGGTCTCTGCAGCCAAGGTCTATACACACTCATTGGTAGTGCCAGAGAAGTGATGACAGGGCACACCAGGGGACAAAACATGGGAGGGCAGGGGCTTCCTCCAATCATATCATACATATGCTGTCTATACTGCTTTTCCTATAGCCAACCCTGAGTTGAAAAATTCTCTTATTGCTTCCATTGAAATGTCACAAACATGTCCTCCATTTCCTTTCCCTTTGGAACAATAATGGGAGCCTCTCCTATTTGGGACATTCTACCACATGTCCAACTTGTGGTCTATACCCCCTCCTTGTAAGTTCCCTTTCTTCTCCTCATCTTTCTGCTTCCCTCTCTCTCTCTCTCTTCTACTTCCTCCCTCCCTTCCTTTCTTCTTTTATTTTTTAAATTTTAATTTAAAATTTTTTTTGAGACAGGACTCTTGCTATATTTCCCAGGCTGGTCTTGAACTCCCGGGCTCAAGTGATCCTCCCACCTTGACCTTCCAAAGCGCTGGGATTACAGGCATGAGCCACTGTGCCCAGCCTCTTCCTTCTTAAAATATTTACTGAGCACCTTATGTTAAGCACTGGGTATATAATATATAAAATAGACACAGCCTCTGCCTTCTTAGAGTTTTTGGCTGAGTGGAATCTCCAAGAGAGCTTCCAAGCAGGGATGTCTATATGTCCCTCCCTCAGAGAGACTCCTGATGAAGTGACCTGCAGCTCACCCTCCCTGCCAGCTCTTTTCTCCTCCAGGGATCTGTCGTCCCCCACTCTCACCCCAGCAGAGTGGCCCAAGGGATGGACCAGGATGAAAGAGGAGGGTTTGCCTAGAAAGGAAGGGCTATCTGGGAAGAGATGTGGTTTTCCACCTCACTGACCCTGCAGGCCTGGCCCCATCTACCTGTAATTCCAGGGAGGCAGTTCCCAAGGACTGTGTGTGGGCTATAGAAGGAATGGGCGGTTAGGTGTTGCCACAATGTTTAGGTGTGTGGCACCTAATGGAAGACATCCACTTCCACTGATTTTGTTGTTGTTGTTGTAATCAATGGATAATTTCCAGCAATGTTTTTCTTGAAAACTGAGCTGCCTGAGAACGTCTTGAGTGTGCACAGAGGGAACATGCTGTGGAGTGGGTGAAACAAGTGAACAATTCCAAGTCAGCAGCTCAGGCATTCCGGAACACTGCTAGCTGCTCTGGGAGCTTTGATTGTCTTAGAGTATTTTTTTTTTTTTTTTTTTGAGACAGGGTCTCCCTCTGTCACCTAGGTTTGGGTGCAGTGGCACAATCTCAGCTCACTGCAACCTCTGCCTCCTGGGTTCAAGCAATTCTCATGTCTCAGCCTCCCAAGTAGCTGGGATTACAGGTGTGCACCACCACACCTGGCTAATATTTGTATTTTTTGTAGAGATGGGGTTTTGCCATGTTGGCAAGGCTGGTCTCGAACTCCTGACCTCAAGTTATCTGCCCACCTCAGCCTCCCAAACTGTTGAGATGACAAGGTGTGAGCCACCACACCCAGCCATCTTCAAGTCTTAAATTGTGTTTTCCGTCTCTTCATTATAACTTTGGGACAAGTCACACCTATTTGATCACCGTGTGACATTCATTTGATAACTCTTATTTTGTAGGACATGAAAATGTCTACACTCATTCAACATTCAATGCACAAAACAGAAAAGATGGTGCTCATTCTATCCAATGTGGCTTTTCATTTACTGGCGTAGACTGCTCTTGCCTTGTGTGGGATTTGTGGAAAAGGGCTTGCACAGGGCCATGTGAAACCTTCTCTCTTGCCTCATCATTGAAAGAAAATATGGCAGGGTGCAGTGGCTCATGCCTGTAATCCCAGCACTTTGGGAGGCCGAGATGGGTGGATCACGAGGTCAGGAGATCGAGACCATCCTGGCCAATATGGTGAAACTCCATCTCTACTAAAAATACAAAAATTAGCCAGGCATGGTGGTGGGCACCTGTAGTCCCAGCTACTCAGGAGGCTGAAGCAGGAGAATCGCTTGAATCTGGGAGGAGGCGGAGGTTGCAGTGAGCCGAGATCACGCCACTGCACTCCAGCCTGGGCAGCAGAGTGAGACTCCGTCTCAAAAAAAAAAGCAAAGCACTAGCATTTTGTATGTATTTTTTTAAAAATAGTTAATTTTATTGAGTGTATACATTAGGTCTTAAAAGCACTTTTTGTCTTTTTTTTTTTTTTTTTCTTTCTGAGACAGAGTCTTGCTCTGTTGCCTAGGCTGGAGTGCAGTGGCATAATCTCAGCTCACTGCAATCTCCGCCTCCCGGATTCAAGTGATTCTCCTGCCTCAGCCTCCCCTTGCCTGGCTAATTTTTGTATTTTTAGTAGAGGCAGGGTTTCACCATGTTGGTCAGGCTGCTCTCCTGACCTCAGGTGATCCGCCCGCCTCGGCCTCCCAAAGTGCTGGGTTTACAGGCATGAGCCACCACACTCAGCCTTTTTGTCTATTTGTGATGCCGGGACACATGGCCAACCTACATTTTTAAATTATATATATATACACACATATACATATATATACACACATATTAAACGTGTACGTATGAGTCTACATATACTTTTTTGTTCAAATAAATGAAAGTCAGTTGAATAACTTTTGACACTTGTTAATATCAAAAAGTTGAAAAGTTTACATTTAGACAGAGCATATAGAACAATTTTAATGATAGATTGCTCTAAAGTAAAAATATTGTTCCCTTATAAATCACTTACTCTATGCAAAAGTGACAGGGGGCTGGGCACAGTGGCCCACACCTGTAATCCCAGCACTTTTCGAGGCTGAGGTGGGAAGATCGCTTGAGCCCAAGAGTTTGAGAGACCAGCCTAGGCAACACGGTGGGACCCCATCTCTACGAAAAAAAAAAAACCAAAAATTAGCTGGGTGTGGTGGTGCATACCTGTAGTCCCAGCTACTCAGGAGGCTGAGGCAGGAGGATCACTTGAACCTAGAAAGTGGAGGCTGCAGTAAGACACGATTGTGCCACTGCACTCCAGCCTGGGTGACAGAGTGAGACCCTGTCTCAAAACAACAACAACAGCAAAACAAACAAACAAACAAACAAGCAAAATCCCAGAAAAGTGACAAGATACCCAGTACTGGTACCTTGGGTAGGGGTGGGGTGATGAAAGTATACCTTAATGCTGAAGGCTACAGCAAGTCACCAGGCAGGGAGGGGTAAAGGAGGTGGTCATCCATAGGGCTCCTGGTTGCCCCTTGTCTTTTTCAGTGGCAGGGGCAGCACCTTGGTATTATTGGTCAGAAGCCACTTGGCTGAAGGCTGGGAGGGAAAGTAAAGGGACATTGGTAGAGCACCACTTTCCCAGGGTCCAGCATTTTATGCACACAAGTTAACTCTACATCTGGTGCGGTGGTTAGGGCACGGATTTTAGAGACAGATTAGGTTAGGAGTCCTGTCCTGCTTTCTAACTTTATCACCCTGGGCAAATCACTTTGATAAATATCCCTAAAGAGATCACGTACATGCTACACAAGATTGTCATAAGGATTGAAGAAATGCATGTACGGTCTTGGCATGGGACCCAGTATTAAATAAATGCTCAATAAATTTTGACCCACACATGGTAACAAAATTCTCTTATTGCTTCCATGGAAATGTCACAAGCATTTTCCCCATTTCCTTTCCCTAGAAATATTATTAATGGTCCCTCCACTATAATCCCAGGAGGCAAATATTATTTTCTCCTAACCAACCACAAAATGAGGCCTAGTGAGATTAAGTATTATTCACCTGGCTAGGCCTAGATGCAAATCCAGGCTTCAAAATCTCTTGATGTTTCCCTTCATGCCACAATTAAACCTTGAGGGAGTTTTCCAGGATGTCACTGCTCTCCTCTGAAGCACAGATTGATTTATGCATTCACCAAATATTTATTGAACCCCTATTAGGCGACAGGCACTGTTCTAAGTGTTAGGAGAAAAAGCAGTGAACACAGACAAAAATCCCTGCCTTTGTGAAATGTACATTCTAGTAGGGTATAGAGATAATAAGATAAAGAAGTGAAATGTAGATTAGATTTGATAGTGATAAATTCTAAGGAGAAAAAAAAATAAAGCAGGGAAAGAGAATAAGTGAGTGTATGTGGATGGGGATGGGTTGTTATCATTTTAGATATAATATCCAGGAAAGCCTCAATGAATAAGAAAGAGACATTTGAGTAGAGAGCTAAAGTGGGGAGGCACACTCCTCAGATTTCTGGGGTAAGAGCCTTCCAGGCAGAGAGAATAGCAGGGGCAAAGGCCCTGGAGTGGGAGCCAATCAGCTCTTGCAGGACAGAAGGAGATGCCCTGGAGGAAAGTCTGAGTTTCTGGAAACAATTTCTTCATCTTTTGATTAGACTGTGAAGACTCTCTCTTGCCCAAAGCAAATATTTCTAACATTTGGGCTTCCCCTTAAGCAGGCACCAGTCCTTTGCTGGGTCACTAATGCCTGGGGTTGAAGCAACCCCGAGGAGCAGGGCTGGCTTTGTGAAGTTCTGATTTGTTGTGTAATGATGGCAATTGCCCTTATAACTCAGTGCATTCTGTGGGTTGACAAGCTCTAGCCTCAAGGTTTTCCACATCCCTCGGATGCTCTGCAGGGTAATAGAAGGGGCTATTTCTCAAAGCCTGACCTTGATGTCAATATATCACTTCCTGGACTCGTGGAGCTTTGAGCAAATGCTTTGATCCCAGGAGTGGGGATCTTCCAGCTTGATTTTTGCCTTCCTGGAAAAATGAGAGCCTGCTGAATGCAGCGAGTGAGAACAGGGACTTTGGAACCAGAGAACTGATTTAAGTGCTCACCCTGGCATTTATGAGTTACGCTACTTCGAGCAAGTTACTGACCTGCAAAAGGAGGACATTCACACTTAACATCTTAGGCAACTAAGAGTATGGTGATGCGGAGGGCGTGGCTAGCACAGAGCCCACACTTAGTGGAAGCTCAGTAGATAATCGCTGTGATTATTTTTACCTTCTTGAGAACTTGCGTGCTAGTAGAATTTCATATTGATGAAATTGTGGTCTGTGGACATCCAGAATCGCAACTGAAAATGGGCAGCTTGATGTCCATATGCATTGGAGGAACTAGGTTGGGTGTGGGGGTGGAGCCATATCAGATAAGCCAGTTAAATTAATCAACTTCTGATTTCTTGTGCTGTTACAGTAGTGCTTCCCATTCTCCTTGTGCCATTCCTTAGGGAGGTCATTTGCAGATGGAGTCCGGTGAACGGAAACCTGTTTCATTTTATTTCCTTTCCTTTCTTTCTTTTTTTTTTTTTTCTTTTCTTGAGACAGGGTCTTGCTCTGTCAACCAGGCCTGGAGTGCAGTGGTGCCATCTTGGCCCTCTGCAACCTCTGCCTCCCGGGTTCAAGCTATTCTCATGCCTCAGTCCCCTAAGTAGCTGGGACTACAGGCATGTGCCACCACACCCAGCTAACGTTTTGTATTTTTAGTAGAGATGGGTTTCACCATGTCGCCTGGGCTGGTCTCAAACTCCTGGCCTCAAGTGATCTGCCTGCCTCAGACTCCGAAACTGCTGGAACTACAGGTGTGAACCTGCACACCTGGCCAGAAATCTGTTTTAAATGTGGCAAAAGAGATCACCGTTTCAAGAAAATCTGCATTGTATGTGTTTTAAGAATGCAGATTCACATGGTTTGGTTTGACATGTGCATTTTGTGTTTGCAGAATCATTTGCTCCCTATCAAATGCTTCTGTGGATATCCAGGGAGTCACAGCTGATAGCCATCTTAATGTGTGGGTGAAGTGGTATCTCATTGTGGTTTTGATCTGCAGCTTGTTAGTGACTAGTGATGTTGAGTATCTTTTCATGTGCTTATTGGACATTTGTATATCTTCTTTAGAGAAATGCTGTTCAAGTCCTTTGCCCACTATTTTTCAGATGAGGTCTCACTCTATCGCCCAGGCTGGATTGCAGTGGCGTGATCACAGCTCACTGCAGCCTTGATCTCCCTGGGCTGAGGTGATCCTCCCAGCTCAGACTCTCAGGTAGCTGGGACTTCAAGCACGCACCACCATGACTGGATAATTTTTTTGTATTTTTCGTAGACACGGGGTTTTGCCATCTCCAACTACTGGGCTCACGTGATCCTCCTGCCTTGGCCTCCCAGAGGGCTGAGATTAAAGTCATGAGCCACCGCACCTGGCCCTTTGCCCATTTTTTAATTGAGTTGTTTGTCTTTTGTTTGAGTTTTAGAAATTCTTTCTACAATTTGCACATTAATCCCTTACCAGCTATATGATTTGCAAATATTTTCTCCCATTCTTTGGGTTGTCTTTTTATTCTCTTGATATTGCCTGTCTTTGTCTGTTTGTGCTGCTATAGCAAAATGTCTGAGACTGGATAATTTATAAAAAACAGAAATTTATTTTCTTACAGTTCTGTAGGCTGCTAAGTCCTAAATGAAGGCACTGCCAGGTTTGGTGTCTGGTGAGGGCAGCTCTCTTTTTCCAGGAGGGTGCCATGTTGCTCGTCCTCCAGAGGGGAGGAGTAATGCTGTGTTTCAGTAACTCCTGTCTTTTCTAACCCACCCTGAGCAAAAAGCTGTGATGCTTTGGAAGCCAGTCCACTTCCAGCTAATGCCACATACCATGAGGAACCATCCTTATGCAGACTTGAATTTTTTTCTTTCTCAGGTCATGCAGAACTTCCCATGTGGTCCTAAGGGTAGGTTAAGGGAAGAATGGGGTGCATCAGAAGAACTTGGCCCAAGGCAGAAGGGCGACAGAGCCCAATGCTGTATGAAGCCTCTTTTTTTTTTTTTTTTTTTTTTTTAAGAAGTTATCTCGCTCTGTCACCCAGGCTGGAGTGCAGTGGCATAATCTCATCTCACTGCAACCTCTACCTCCTGGGCTCAAGCGATTCTCCTGCCTCAGGCTCCTGAGCAGCTGGGATTACAGGTGCCCACTACCACGCCCGGCTAATTTTTGTATTTTTAGTAGAGACAGGGTTTCACCATGTTGGCCAGGTTGGTCTCAAACTCCTGAACTCAGGTGATCCACCCGCCTCGGCCTCCCAAAGTGCTGGGATTACAGGCATGAGCCACCACGCCCGGCCCTGAAGCCTCTTTTATAAAGGCCTTAAGCCCATTCCTGAGGGAGGAACTCTCATGATCTACTCACCTCTTAGGTCCCATGTCTTAATACCATCACATTGGCAACACCTGAATTTTGGAGGAGACACATTCAAACCATAGCAGTGCATTTTGATGTGTAAGTTAAATTTTGATGAAGTCCAAGTTATATATATTTTTTTGGTTGCCTGTGCTTTTGGTGTCATAAGAAATCGTCACCAAATCCAATGTCACAAAGGTTTTTCCCTATGTTTCCTTCTAAGACTTTTATAGTTTTATTTTTAGTTCCTACACATAGGTCTTTGATCCATTTTGAGTTAATTTTTGTATGTGGCGTAAGATAAGGGTCCAACTTCATTCTTTTGTCTGTGGATATCCAGTTTTCCCAAAACTATTTGTTGAAAAGAGTGTTCTTTCCCTCACTGAATAGTGTTATGGGCTGAATTTTTGTCCCCCAATAATTCATATGTTGAAGTCCTGACACCCAACACCTCAGAATGTAACCATATTTGGAGATAGAACATTTAAAAAGATAGTTAAGGTTAAATTAGGTCATAGGGGAGTAGGTTGGGTCCCTAATCCATGTGACTGTCTTTGGAGATAAGTCTTTACAGAAGTGACTAAGTTAAAATGAGACCCATAGTATAGGACCCTAATCCAATATGACTAGTGTCGTTATAAAAAGAAACAGCCAGGCGTGGTGGCTCATGCCTATAATCCTGCCACTTTGGGAGGCCAAGGCAGGAGGATCCCTTGAGCCCAGGAGTTCAGGACCAGTCTGGGCAACATAAGGAGACCCTGTCATTAAAAAAAAAAAAAGAAAGAGAGAAAGAAAGACACTAGGGATGCATAGGCACAGAGAAAAGGCCATATGAGAACACAATAAGATGTCCGCCTGCAACCAAGGGAAGAGGCCTCAGGGAAAATGAAACCAAATTTAAAAATTAAAATCTTCCCAGCAGCCGGGCGCGATGGCTGACACCTGTATTCCCAGCACTTTGGAAGGCTGAGATGGGTGGATCGTTTGAGGTCAGGAGTTTGAGACTAGCCTGGCCAACATGGCAAAACCCTGTCTCTACTAAAAATACAAAAATTAGCCAGAGGTGGTGGTGTGCACCTGTAATTCCAGCTACTCGGGAGGCTGAGGCAGGAGAATCACTTGAACCCGGGAGGCGGAGGTTGCAGTGAGCTGAGATAGCCCCACTGCACTACAGCTCGGGCGACAAAGTGAGACTGTGTCTCAAACAAATAAACAAACACATCTTCCAGTCCATGAACACAGGTGTCTTTTCATTTCATCCATATTGATATTACCAAGGGTAATTACCAATTTATCACAGATTTAGTTTTAGAAGTTTTTGTTTTTTTATAATAAGCATTTATATATTCCTACATATAGATAACAACACAAAACCTATATATACAAATAAATACACATATATATAAATAAATATACCCACATACATATGTTTTTGTGTATGTACACATATACACATATATTTCACCTCACTACTTCTTTTTTTGGGGGATCTTTTTCTTTTTTTCTATCTCCCTCTGTCACCCAGGCTGGAGTGCAGTGGTGTGATCTCTGCTCACTGCAACCTCCACCTCCCGGGTTCAAGCGATTCTTCTGCCTCAGCCTCCTGAGTAGCTGGGGTTACAGGCACCCAGCACCACACCTTTTGTACTTTTAGTACAAAAGGCTAATTTTATACTTTTAGTAGAGATGGGGTTTCACCATGTTGGCCAGGCTGGTCTTGAACTCCTGACTTCGGGTGATCCGCCCACCTCAGCCTCCCAAAGTGCTGGGATTACAGGCAGGAGCCACCCTACCCAGCCTCATCTCACTACTTCTTGAAACTCACTTATTCCTCACAGATACATTTTTCTTCTTATTGGAATGTGTCTTTATTTCATAAAGAGTCTAGTTTGGCTGGACATGAAATTCTAGGTTTATTTCCCCTTAATGTCTGAAGAGGTATTGTTTGTCTTTCTTAAAAAAATTTTTTTTGGCCGGATGCAGGTGGCTCACGCCTGTAATCCCAGCACTTTGAGAGGCCAAGGCAGGCGGATCACCTGAGGTCAGGAGTTCGAGACCAGCCTGGCCAACATGGTGAAACCATGTCTCTAGTAAAAATACACAAATTAGCTGGACATGGTGGTGCGCACCTGTAATCCTAGCTATTCTGGAGGCTGAGGCACAAGAATCACTTGAACGCAGGAGGCAGAAGTTGCAGTGAGCTGAGATCACACCACTGCATTCCAGCCTGGGTGACAGAGTGAGACTCTGCTTCAAAAAAAAAAAATTTTTTTTTTTAGAGAATTCACTGTGTTGCCCAGGCTGGAGTGTAGTGGCTAGTCACAGGCACACTACAGGCTCACATTCGTGAGCTCAAGTGATCCTCCCACCTCAGCCTCTTTCAGTAGCCCAGCTCTGTGTTTGTCTTCTTACATCTAACATAGCTGATGAGAGCTCATCTCAATCTGCCTTTCTTTCCTTTATAGATAATAGTTTTTTACCTCCAGGGAAGGATATAGAATTTTCTCTTTGGTGTTCTGTAATTTACTACCATGTGTCTAGATGGAGATGAGCAGAGAGGGAGGAGTAGCTGAGAGGGTCTGTGGAGGTTCAAGCCCCCGGCTCTCTCACACTCTACCTACTCTACTTCCTCCAGGGTGGAGCCTTTTTGATCCCACCTTCTTGTGAGAACAGTAACCTTCTTTCCAATCCCATATGCTTTCTGCCCTTCAGGGATCTCATACAATTTCTGACCCAGTAGGGGTTTCTCTTTTGTTTTGAGCTTGATTGCAGATTTATTTTATTTTTGAGTTGTATTTTCAAATGCTAAAGCTAAAACTATGAAACATTTGCAAGAAAACACAGTATCTCTAGTATCTTAGATTAAGCAAAGATTTCTTACAAAAGCATGAACCACAAAAGAAAAAAATGGATAAATTTGGCTTCATTAAAATGCAGATCTGTTCTTCAGAAGACACTTGTCAAGAAAATGAAAAGATAATCTATACACTAGGAAGAGATATTTGCAAAACACATATCTGATAAAGGACTTGGAAGAATATGTTAAAAAAAACTCTTCAAATATAATAACTAGAACCAAAGATTCAATTTCTTTTCTTTTAAGAGACAGGATCTCGCCCTGTTGCCCAGGGTGGAATACAGTGGCATGATCAGAGTTCACTGCAGCCTTGAACCTCTGAGTTCAAGGCTCCTGCCTCAGCCTCCCAAGTAGCTGAGACCACAGGCATGAGCCACCATGCCTGGCTAATTTTTAAATTTTTGGAGAGACGGGATCTCACTATGTTGCCCAGGCTGGTCTTGAACTCCTGGTCTCAAGCCATCCTTCTGCCTTGGCTCGGCCTCACAAAGAGCTGAGATTACAGGCTTGAGCCACCACATCTAGCCTTAAATAATTCATTTTTTTAAGTGAGGAAAATATTTAAACAGACTCTTCCTCAAATAAAGGGTATGCATGACAAATAAGCACATGAAAAGCTGTTCAACATCATTCTTCTTTATTTCCCCCCCACCCAGAGTCTCACTCTGTCACCCAGGCTAGAGTGCAGTGGTGCAATCACAACCTACTGAAGCCTTGACCTTCCAGGCTCAAGCAATCCTCCCACCTTAGCCTGGGACCCCAAGTAACTGGGACCATAGGTGTGCACCACCATGCATGCTTGTGGTCCCAGCCAATTCTTCCATTTTAATTTTTTTGTAGAGATGGGGTCTCCCTATGTTGCCCAGGCTGGTCTGAAACTCCCAGGCTCAAGCGATCTTCCTGCCTTTGCTTCCCAAAATGCTGGGATTACAGGCATGTACCAATGCACCTGGCCATCATTAGCTTTAGGGAAATGCAAATTAAAACCAGAATGAGATACCACTACCCATCCACTGGAATGACCAAAATTAAAAGGTGCTGGTGAGGAGCTAGGGCAACTGGAACTCTCATTCATTACTGATGAGAACGCAAAATTGTACAGCCTCTTTGAAAATAAATTTGGCAATTTTTAACAAAGTTCAATATATGCTTACCTTATAAACCAGCAATCCTGCTCTTAGGCATTTACACAGGAGAAATGAAAACTTATGTCCACACAAAGATCTGTTTGTGAATATTTGTAGTTATTGTATTTATAATCACCAGAAACTAGAAACAATCCCCATGCCCATCAATTGGTGAATGGATAAACAAATCATGACAACTTTAAAAAAATATGTATATATATACATACTTTTATTTTTGTAGAGAGGAAGTCTATGTTGCCCAGGCTGGCCTCCAACTCCTAGCCTCAAGGTGATCCTCCTACCTCAGCCTCCCAAAATGCTGGGATTATAGGAGTGAGCCACTGCACCTGGCAACAATCATCACACTTTGATACAATGGAACACAACTTAGAAAAAAAAAAAGCTTCAGATATACACAACATAGGTGAATCTCAAAAGCATTATGCTAAGTAAAAGAAGCCAGACTCAAAAAGTTCCCTTATATAAATCCTGCCAAACGGCATTTTGGAAAAGGCAAAACTGTAAGGACAGAAATCAGATTTGTGGTTGCCAGTGGCTGGGAGCTGCGGGGAGGGAATTGACTGCAAAGGGACAGGAGAGAACTTGCGGGTGTGATGGAAATGTTTTATCTCTATTATGGGGATTATATAACTGTATGCGTTTGTCAAAAGCCATAAGCTTATAAAAGGAATGAATTTTTATAGGTAAGTTATGCCTCAATAAATTCTGACACTAAAAATGTGTTTCTCCCTACTGTGATTTGAAGGACTTGAGCCAAAAGAGAAAGCTGTAGCTTGTGTTCAGTGGGTCATCCTGAAATGGCACTCAGCCCAAGATTTGTAAACAGCACTTAAGTATTAGTTCCTTTTCCAGAAGCCCCATTCAGTGGTCCTCTCTGAGCAACGAGTGTCAGTCTTGTTTTCCAGTAAGATTGTAAATTCTGTGAATATGAGAACTAAAGTGATCGGCCGGTCTGGTTTGCCCGGCCTGGGGGCCAGCCAGCCTGGGACTGTTTGGGACTCCTTTTTAAATCCTCCTATGATATCTAGCAGAGGAATGGGCACAAACTTGTTGGCATAGAGAGGTCTAACCTGCTTGTAACTAGGGTTGCAAGTAACCAAGCTGAATGGCCCAAGGGTTACCAAGAGTGAAGACCCACCTCGACAAACTCCAAATTCCTAGACATCGCTGGAGACTCACCCTTCCGCCAGGGCTCAGCTTTCAGGCTTGCAACATCTCTTAGACATTTCCTCTGTTGGCATAATATGATTTAATCTCTTTGTAGTTACGTTTCTTTTTCTGAGACAGGGTTTTGCTCCGTCACCCAAGCTGGAATGCAGTGTTGCAATCTTGGCTCACTGCAACCTTTGCCTCCCCTGCTCAAGCAATCCTCCCGCCTCAGTCTCCCGAGTAGCTGGGACTACAGGCATGTGCCACCATGCCCAGCTAATTTTTGTATTTTTTTGTAGAGACAGGATTTTGCCATATTGCCCAGGCTGGAATAGTTCAGTTTCTTCATCTGTTAAAATACAGATCACAATATCCACATTTTGAGGAAGGGAAAGGAATTTTGTACTGTTAACAGTTTACTACTGAGATTGTAAGGGTTAAGTTTGCCTGCATCTTATTTATTAAGGTTGGTGCAAAAGTAAATTGTGAATTTGGGCCGTGAATTTTAAATCATAACTAGGCTCAAACACATCTTTATTAATCAAAATAGAAACCATTAGAAGCAACACATTTTTGCTAACAAGAAATAAGTTTGTTTATTCTTGTAGCATAAAAATCCATGCTTCAGGATTCGACGGACTTCTCAGAAAGCATTTTCTGCATCCTACTGGTTGTGGAAGCATTTTCCCTGCAAAAAGTTGTCAAGATGCTTGAAGAAGTAGTAGTCGGTTAGCAAGAAGTCAGGTGAATCTGGTGGATGAGGCAAAACTTCATAGCCCTATTTGTTCAACTTTTGAGGAGTTGGTTGTGCGACGTGCGATCGGGCATTGTTGTGAAAGAATTGGGCCCTTTCTGTTGACCAATGCTGGCTGCAGGCATTGCAGTTTTCGGTGTATCTCATCGATGTGCTGAGCATACTTCTCAGATGTGATGGTTTCACTGGGATTCAAAAGCTATAGTGGGTCAGACCAGCAGCAGACCACTAAAAATCCATGACCTTTTTTTGGCACAAGTTTGTCTTTGGGAAGTGTTTTGGAGCTTCTTCTCAGTCCACCCACTGAGCCAGTCGTCACCAGTTGTATAAAATCCACTTTTCCTCACACATCACAATCCAATCGAGAAACAGTTCCTTGTTGTTGCACAGAATAAGAGAAGATGACGCTTCAAAATGACGATTTTTTTATTTTCGCTCAGCTCATGAGGCACCCACTTATCAAGCTTTTTCACCTTTCCAATTTGCTTCAAATGCCAAACGACTGTAGAATGATCGAAGTTGAGTTCTTGGGCAACTTCTCGTGTAGTTGTAAGAGGATCAGCTTCGATGATTGCTCTTAATTGGTCATTGTCAGCTTCTGAAGGCCAGCCCCTACTTTCTCATCTTCAAGCTTCTCGTCTCCTTTGTGAAACTTCTTGAACCACCACTGCATTGTACATTCGTTCGTTAGCAGCTCCTGGGCCAAATGTGTTGTTGATGTTGTGAGTTGTCTCCGTTGCTCTATGACTTATTTTGAATTCGAATAAGAAAATTACTCAAATTTGCTTTTTGTCTAATATCATTTCCATAGTCTAAAATAAACACAAAATAAACAGCAAGTAATATGTCATTAGCAAAAAAAAAGCAAGAAATTCCCATTAAAAGGATGTATAACATAACCACATTTATATAAGAATGTATTCCAAAATCAAACAGCAAATTCCAATAATAAGAACACCGCAATTACTTTTGCAGTCACCTTAGTCTTTGCAGAAGCCCTTGAAGGAAGGAATCCTTGTCCCCGCTTTACAGTTCTAGCTACAGAGGCCTGGGGATGCTAAACAGCTTGCCCAGAGCTAAACAGTCAACACAAGGCAAGTTGGGATTCAAACCCAAGTCCTTCCAGTTGCAAGCTCAGGTATTGGGGTACCTTCCAAACACCAGGATAACTAACATAGGATAGAAGGAACTCAAAATGCTGTTTCTGCCCTGTCTTCCCCTTCTTTCCATTCCCCAAAAATGAACAAAAATTTTTCTCCCTACAGGTGAATCTATCAGCCAATGAATCAAGTTCACTATATTTAGGTTTTCATGAGTAGGAACTGGGAAAAGAGAAACTTTTCTTGGGCCAGGAGAGAATGGAAAGGCTGGATGGACATAACTGCTGGGCTGGGAGTGGAGATGGAGGGGCCAGAGAGAGACTGGCTTCTGTCTGAACCGCTGATGATCCTGTCTGGACTGTGAGCTTCTGGGAGCTCCCTCCTATCTGGTCTCCTTTGTTACCGGTATCCCTGTACTTGGAGGATGCCCCATGTGGGATTACCCTGTAAACTGTAGTTGGTGACAGAGCAAGCCCAAGCAGGCCCTGGTGTCCTCCTCAAGGACCTGCAGTCTCATGAGGTGGTACGTGCCTGGCAAGGCCTCCGGAGCAGGTCCCGGGAGGTCAGCAGCTGGCAGGAATCCTACAAGCCAGCACGTGAGATGGTAGGAAAGAATTCTGAACCCCTGAGTGCCTGGGAATGGAACATTCTGCCTTGCCAGCTGTGATCCCCCCACCCCCTTCCTTGGCAAAACTAAATAGTTAAGTGCATCTTGACAGCAAACCCAAATTTAACTTTGCTTCCTTCTGCAATGAAAGTCCAGCTGAGTTGGGAAGGGAGAGGCCCTTGAAAGGTATTTCCACCTTGGCTTGACTTATTAGGTTAGTAGAAATGGACTTGTTGTTCTTACTGGTAGGTTATTAAAACCCTCAGGGAATGTGCAGAAGGCAAATTTAGTCTGAGGAGCCCAGTAGGCCTAGGAGACGCTGAATAAAGAGTCTAGTTGTTTGGATAGCTGGAATGTTGGGGAGAGGCAGCTTTTCACTGAAAGCTGCCCCCAGGTTGTGCCCTGTGGCTCCCAGTGGCCCCACCCTGAGAGGGTCTGCATGTGACGCCTGCTATCTGCTCAGCGCCTATCTCTTCCTGTGCCTAGGTGGCTCCTCCCCCACTGTCTGTTAGACTGAGAAGCTCAGCTGGCCTCTTGCCCCTTGGACTTGATCTCCACTAAAGTCTCTTCAGACTGAGGAGTGCAGGAGGAAAGGGAGGGATGAGAGTGGGTGGCAGGGAGGTGGGAGAATGCTGCATCTGGCATATCCTGATGCTCTTGAGAAGTGAGCCCTCAGCAGGGCGGAGCAGGCTCCCAGTGCGGAGGCTTGGAGGGAGGAGGCGGTGCTGCAACCTGTCACCTTAAAGGGTTTGATTGAGCTGCTGACTCAGAAGCACAGGGCTGATTACCCATAATTACAGCCCCATGTGGTAGTCTTGTCAAAATGCAGAGACCTCCTTAGTCCCAGAGCTCTTCCCCCTACCCCTTCTAAGTAGAAGCTGCCTTTCCAGAAAACAAATCTTCAGACCTGCCCACGCAAAACCCCACAAAGTCAAGAATCACCTTTCTAGAAAGTATTCTCTCTCCTGGAGCCCAGGGGACTTTCCCAAACACAGCCATGATCATTTCAACCTCCTCCAGATCTTTAGCAAGACCTACGAGGCCTGCCGGTCTGGCTCCTGCCCGCCTCTCAGCCTCACCTCACACCTGTGACCTCCATACCTAGCCCCTGAGTTAATGCAATAAATAGTGTTGAATGCCTGCTGTGGGCTAGGCATCACTCTAGGCATTGAGGATACTCCAGTGAACCACATACAGGCCCTACCCTTGTGGCAGTTACATTCTGGAAGGGAGAGGTGGGCAAAATTTATAGTAAGTCAGACAGCGAGAAGTGCTAAGGAGAAAAATAAAGCTGGGAGGGGAAGTGGTTCCCATTTTATAAGGATGAGCAAAGAAAGCATCACTGATGATGTGCTATTTGAGCAAAGGCCTGAAAGAAGAGAAAGGGCAAGCCACACATCTGGGGAAGCACATGCCAGGTGAAGAGCCCTGCAGAAGTCCATGATCAGGAACAAGGAGGCCAGTGTGGCTGAAACAGAGTGGGAGATAAAGGTAGGATCAAAGAAACACTAGAGCGTTTGCACGCTGGCTTTTATTCTGAAAGAGATGGAGACTTTTGAGCTGCCATTCAAGGGCTTTGAAATGAGTAATGACCTAATCTGACACGTTTGAAGTGGATCCTCTGACTGCATTGTTGAGGGCAGAATGAAGGTGGGCAAGGGCAAGGTCAGGTTCAGACTAGTCCCAGTGGTGTAGATGGCGAGAAGTCGCCAGATTCAAGATGCACTCGGAGAATTGTCAGGGTTTCCTGACAGATTAGATGTGCATATGAAAGAAACTAAGGAGGCAGAGATGACTCTAAGCTTTTTGGCCCAAACAGTTGGAAGGATGGATTCGTTACTTACAGAGATGGGGAGACTACAGGAAAAGTGGATTTTGGGGAGAAAGACCGGGAGTTCTGTCTTCAATATGATAGATTTGAGATGACTATTGAACATGCCAGGGGAGATATTAAATAGACATTTGGATGTTCAAACCTAGAATTCAGGGGAACGATCTGGCTGGAAAGGCCAATTTAGGAGTCGTCAGCTAGAGGGGGTACTTATTTGTTTGTTTATTTTGAAATGGAGTCTCGCTCTGTTGCCCAGGCTGAGGTGCAGTGACATGATCTCAGCTCACTGCAACCTCCACCTCCTGTGTTCAAGCAATTCTCCTGCCTTAGCCTCCTGAGTAGCAGGGACTACAGGGGTGCACTACCATGCCGGGCTAATTTTTATATTTTTAGTAGAGGCGTGGTTTCACCATGTTGGCCAGGCTGGTCTCAAACTCCTGACCTCAGGTGATCCACCTGCCTCAGCCTCCCAAAGTGCTGGGATTACAGGTGTGAGCCACCATGCCTGGCCTAGAGGAGGTATTTAAAGCCATAAACCTGGTTGAAATTGGCCTTATTTTGAATTCACAGCCACCAACATGGGCTCTTGAGAAGATAGGAAATCCAAAGAAAGAACCCCGGAACACTCCAATGTTTGGGGGTCAGGAAAATGAAGAGGAGCCAGCAAAGGACACCACGAAGGGGGCAGCCAGTGAGGTAGGAGGCAAGCCAGGAGAGGGGAGGGCAGTGTCCCAACGAATGAACAATTGACTGGGTTTAAACATTCTGAGATGAAGTCAGACAGAAACGGAAAGCTGAGTATTTGGCAAGTAATTGGTGACCTTGAGAAGGCCCGTTTTGTGGAGATATGAAGGGAAAAGCCTGATTGAAGTGGGGCTTGGAGAGAACAGGAAGATACGAACTGAAGACAGTGGAGCGAGAAATGGGGCAGTAGCCGGTAGGGGATGTGAGATTAGGAGAGGGCTATTTTTCAGATAGGAGAAATAACGTATCTGTAGGATAATGAGAGTGATCTGATAGAGGGTGAAAATTTGATGATGAAGGAGAAAGAAAGGACAACTGCTGGAGTAAGATCTTGGGTAGATAAGAGAAGATGGACTCTAGTTTCTAAGTGAAGGATTTTTGACATTAGTTGACTATGATTTAAAGCAAGGCTAGGTCAGGCACAGTGGCTCACACCTGTAATCCCAGCACTCTGGGAGGCTGAGGAAGGCAGATGGCTTGAGCCCAGGAGTTCAAGACCAGCCTGGGCAACATGGTGAAAGCCTGTCTCTATAAAAAATACAAAAATTAGCCAGGCGTAGTGGCGCACACCTATATTCCCAGCTACTCGGGAGGCTGAGGTGGAAGGATCACTTGAGCCTGGAAGGTGGAGGTTGCAGTGAGCTGAGATCAGGCCACTGCACTCCAGCCTGGGTGACAGACTGAGACCCTGTCTCAAAAAAAGCCAGTTAGCATGGTTGATATATTTTTTTTAGATGGAGTCTTGCTTATTCACCCAGGCTGGAGTGAAATGGTGCAATCTTGGCTCACTGCAACCTCTGCCTCCCGGGTTCATGCAATTCTCCTGCCTCAGCCTCCCTAGTAGCTGGGATTACAGGCACGTGCCACTACGCCTGGCTAATTTTTGCATTTTTAGTAGAGATGAGCTTTCACTATGTTGGCCAGGCTGCTCTTGAACTCCTGATCTCAAGTAATCCACCCACCTTGGCCTCCCAAAGTGTTAGGATTACAGGCGTGAGCCACTGCTCCTGGCCAATATTTTCTATTTTTGAAAAAATTTTTTGAGACAGAGTCTTGCTCTGTCACCCATGTTGGAGTGCAGTGGCGATCTCGGCTTACCACAACCTCTGCCTCTCTGGTTCAAGCAATTCTTATGCCTCAGCCTCCCTAGTTGCTGGGATTACAGGCATAAGCCACCACGCCTGGCCATGGTTGATATTTTCTAGACACATTTAGCTATTGTGATGCAGGTGTTACATAGGTAGAGAGGCCAGGTGCAGTGGCTCACACCTGTAATCCTAGCACTTTGGGAGGCCGAGGCAGGCAGATCACCTGAGACCCTGGCCAACATGACAGAACCACGTCTCTACTAAAAATACAAAAATTAGCCTGGCATGATGGTGTGTGCCTGTAATCCCAGCTACTTGGGAGGCTGAGGCACGAGAATTGCTTGAACCCAGGAGGTGGAGGTTGGAGTGAACTGAGATCATGCCACTGTACTCCAGCCTGGGATACAGAGTGAGACTCTGTCTCTGAATAAATAAATAGGTAGAGAGCTAGATTCAATCAAAGCTGGTGTTTTTCCAGAAGAGCAGAGTGAAGGAAGAGGGGTCAAGGGAATTGAGGATGTGTGGAGATGAGTGATTATAATGATGATTAGATCATCTAAACTGGATGAGAAGGAAAGTGGGGAGGTGAAGGAAAAGGGGAAGGTGGGTAAGTCTTGAGGGACTGAAGAATTATTGGAGCTGGTGTCCCAGAGGGAGTAAACTGGGAAGATGGGAGGCCATGGTCAGAGTGGGAGGCATGAAATTGAGATTATGGAGTTCTTGGTAATAACATACCTAAGGCATGGCTGCGAGAGTGAGTGGCTGAGGTGAGATGAAGGACAAGCCCACTTGAAGCAAGGTGATCAAGAACCAGAGGGGCTGGGGTGCTAGATGTGCCACTGTGCCCCAGCCTGGGCAACAGAGCAAGACCCTGTCTCAAAAAACAAAGTATCCCTGAGGTCCTCTCCCATTCCCACTCCCCGTGTCCCCTGCCGTTCCTATCCTGGGTTTCTGCTGAAAAAGATAAAAAGGAAAAATACATAATAGTGTAGGGAGTGTGGGTGGGGTGTTCCACCTGTGGTCAGGGAACTGTGGGGGATGATGAGGTAAGCCAAGGAGACCAGAGGAGTAAACAGGCATTGCATGTAGCACTATCCACACAGCAGCTTGAAAGGCAGGTCACTCTGCCTTTACTTTGCTTTCTTTTTCTTCTGAATGTTTAAAATGATGGGAGATTCATGATTTATTGTCTGGCTTCCCCACATACCTGGTTAAGTCTCATTCATTTTGTCACTCCATACCCAGGGCCTAGAAGAATGCCTGATCTAGAAGATGCCCAGTGGATTCTTATTGAAGGAATGTCCAGTGGGTGTTAAGGGTGAGGCTCAGGGAATTAAGCACCTTGTTCTGGGTCACGGGTAAGTGAGGAAGTGGGATTAGACACATACCCATACACACACAAAATTTGGTGCAAAAGGACTCTAGTGCCATGTTTTAAAAAACACTTGTGTAATTTTAAAATGCATTTATCAGCTGGGCACAGTAGCTCACACTTGTAATCCCAGCATTCTGGGAGGCCAAAGCAGGAGGATCACTTGAGGCCAGGAGTTGGAGACCAGCCTGGGCAACATAGCAAGACTGTCTCTACAAAAAATTTAAAATTAGCTGAGCACAGTGGTATGTGCCTGTAGTCCTAGCTACTCGGGAGGCTCAGGCAGGAGGATTGCTTGAGCCCAGGAGATAGAGGCTGTAGTAACCTGTGGTCGTGCCACTGCACTCCAGCCTGGGCAACAGACTGAGACTCTGTCTCCAAAGAATAAAGATAAAAATCAGTTTCCCTATAAAATATTAGAGGAAAGAAGGAGATTAAGGAATTTTGATAATCCATTGGAAACATTACAAGCTTTATTATTGTAGTCTATTTTATGAAAAACTGAATATTTAAATATGTAATTTTAAAAATTTTGCCCATCTTCATTCTGCAGTATAAATATGTGATTTAAATGTGGAACTTGGGCACGAGGAGAGTGGGGAGCAGAGTATGGAAGCCAGGCAAGTGTGGGGAAAGGCAGCTTAGCCTCCCTGACTTTGCCTGGAGCTTTACAGCAGCACAGGCTGCTCTGGTTTTCCTTTTTTTGTTGTTGTTTCAAAGACATTTGAAAGTGTTGACTGTTACACAGTGTTTTAAAAAGACATTTGGGGCCAGGTGCAGTGGCTCTGTCTGTAATCCCAGCACTTTGGGAGGCCGAAGCAGGAGGATCACTTGAGACCAGGAGTTTGAGACCAGCCTGGGCAACGTGATAAAACCCCATCTCTAGGAAAAAATACAAAAATTATCTGGGCATGGTGGTGCATGCCTATAGTCCCAGCTACTGGGGAGGTTGAAGTGGGAGGGTCACATGAGCCCAGGAGGCAGAGGTTACAGTGAGCCGAGATCACGCCACTGCACTCCAGACTGGGCAACAGGGCAAGACTCTGTCTCTAAAAAAAAAAAAAAGACATTTGGAAATGTCAGCCTTCCTCTCGCAGAGCTCACCTAGCTCAGCTACCTATGAGGTCAGAAGTTTTATAGCTTATAGCACAGCAAAAGTATGTGGTGCAGTGCCAGTGAGCACAGACACAGCACAAAAGCACCTCTAGAGACGAAACCCTCAAAATGCAGCCACTCACAGGTGAACAGCCATTCACCCTCACTGCCCACAGGTGCCAGAGGGGCAGGGAGCCCAGAGGTGGCAGCCTATTGTGACACCCATTGCCAACAGGATGTTGATGAAAGGTCTGGGGAGAAAAGCGAGTCCTATGCAGAGAAGTGTGTATCCTTCCAGATTTTTTCTATGGAACTGAGAGTTGAACCCAGGGTTACCTGATCCCCAAACCCTCCCTCTCTCCATGGGTTTTGCAAATGAGCCTCAAGTCTTTTTAGAACACCAACTGACAATTTCTCCTTGATAAATGTCACTCATTTCTCAGCAAGAAGTTAAGATAGCTTCCAGGGTCCCCCCAACCCCATCACCCACATTGTCTCCTCTATTTGCTTGCCACCCAGAGGCTGAATTCCAGTAGCCATTCTGCATTGCAGCCCTTCATCTAGATGCTGTCCATTAAAAGGGTTGCCCCCGCCCCCACCCACCATGGGGCTGACTGCTCACCAGCACCATTAACAGTGTTTGGCACATGGTGGACTCTCAAGAGGTGGGGGTGTGTGAGGCTACTGACCATTATTTAGCACCCTTGGGTGGCGGGTGCACTGCTGGATTCTCTGCAAATACAATCTCTTTTAATCCTCACAATAACCCCAAAGGCAGCATTATTTCCCTCCTTACAGATGAGGAAATTAAAGCCCTGGGAGCACAGTAGACTTGTCCTCACTCACAAAGCTAGTTAGGAGTGGAGCTAGAATTTGAACGGAATCAAACTGCCTTCATAGCAATTCCTGTGATAGAACCCTCAAAGGGTGTGTGTGTGTGTGTGTGTGCACGTGGGGTGGGTGTTTCAGTTGCCTGTACCCAGTGCTAGTTCAGATCAAAGCAGGCCTCCTTTGATCTGTGAGTGTGAGTGGAACTGGGAGGCAGCTCCTCGCAGGGAGGTGTTTGGAGAAGCTGCGGGTGGAATGAATGGGAGGAAACAGGTTGGGGCAGTAGGTGGGGCATGCTGCAGGCTAGGTGACACAAGCAGGTTGGGTGACAAGCTCAGCTGGGCCCCTTGGGTTTAAGACAGAAGGGTGATAAGGGAGGTGTTGCTGCGTGCAGAGGTCACAGCTGGGCCCATCAGAGCTCAGCCCAATCTGAGTGGCTGTTGTTGTTTTTGGTTTTTTTGTTTGTTTGTTTTGTTTTTTGTTTTGTTTTTAAAGCAGGACCAGCCAAACTTGTCCCAGCAGCTTCCTGGCTTTCTAAGGCTTTCCCTTCTTTGTTCCCAGGTCATTAAGCTAAGAAAATACAGCATGTCCATCTGGCCAGCTTCCCAGATAGAGCCTCATGAAGTTCCAGCACACAGAGAAGTGAAAGGGGAGAATGGAATAATCTGTTCATTCTTTCGTTCAATATTTACTCAAAACCCACTATGTGCTAGGTATCGTTATAGGTGCTTGGAATACAGCAGTGAACCAAAAAGACAAAGATCCCTGACCATGGGTTGCTTCTGGTGGGAGATGGGGAGGTTATAATAACCCTAAAAAGTAAATAAATTAGGTCTTAAGGCTGTGGAATAAAGGCAAAATAGAGCAGGGAAAGGGGGATCAGGAGCACATGTATGGATGAGGTTGGGGTTGCAATCTTAAGAGAGTGGTCAGGGAAGTGAAGGAGCTGCCCATGTGGCAGGCAGAGAGAACACCATGTCTCCAGAGCTGAGGCAGAGGGAACAGGACTGTGTGTTTGAGCAACAGCTGGAGACCAGGAAGCTGGAGTGGAGGGGGTGATGTGGAAAGTTGGAGACTGAGGGATTGTCGAAGGGTGGGGGCTACATCACTTAGGGTGTAACAGTGGCCTGTCTTCTCTTTGTAAAGGATCCCTCCCACTGCTGAGCAAGAAGGTGGGAAATGGGAGAGCAGCTCTCGGAGCCCAGCATGATACCCAGACAGGAGGCTATGGGGGCTCAGGCAGGGGCTGGAGGCAGGCTTGGGAGGGGTGGGGGATGATATGGTTTGGCTCTGTGTTGCCACCCAAATCTCATCTTGTAGCTCCCATAATTCCCATGTGTTGTGGGAGGGACCTGGTGGGAGATAATTGAATCATGGGGGCATGTCTTTCCCATGCTGTTCTCATGATGTGAATAAGTCTCATGAGATCTTATGGTTTTAAAAAGGGAGTTTCCCTGCACAAGCTCTCTCTCTCTTTGCCTGCTGCCATCCATGTAAGATGTGACTTGCTCCTCCTTGCCTTCTGCTATGATTGTGAGTCCTCCCCAGTTTAATGAAACTGTAAGTCCATCAAACTTCTCTTTCTTTTGTAAATTGCCCAGTCTCAGGTATGTCTTTATCAGCAGTAAGAAAATAGACTAATCCCGGCTGGGCATGGTGGCTCATGCCTGTAATCCCAGCACTTTGGGAGGCCAAGGCGGGCAGATCACCTGAGGTCGAGAGTTCGAGACCAGTCTGACCAACATGGAGAAACCCTGTCTCTACTACAAATACAAAATTAGCCAGGCATGGTGGTGCATCCCTGTAATCCCAGCTACTCGGGAGGCTGAGGCAGGAGAATCACTTGAACCCAGGAGGCAGAGATTGTGGTGAGCCAAGATTGCACCATTGCACTCCAGCCTGGGCAACAAGAGCGAAACTCTGTCTCAAAAAAAAAAAAAAAAGAAAAAGAAAAAGAAAAAGAAAAAAGAAACCAGACTAACACAGGGAGCTCAGGAGCACTGCATTCCGTCTGGTCCACTGGAGATGTCTGCCAGACTCCAGCTGGGTGAGCCTAGCAGGCAGTTAGGTATAGGAGTCAGGATTATGGGAGAAAGGTCTGCACTAGAAATGTAAGTTTGGGGTGTCATTCTGCAGATGGTGAATGAGATCATGAGTGTGGGAGTGCAGATGGGGAAAAGGATGAGGGCTGAGCCTTGAGCACTGCACTCTTCAGAAGCCCAAGAGAAGAGAAGGCACAATCAGGGAGGTAGGAGGGAAGCCAGGAAACGCTTATCCCAGAAGAGATAGCCTCAAGCAGGAGAGAGGGACCAACTGTATCAAATGGTGCTTAATCTAGCCTTGCTGCTTTTGCTGGGCCCCAAGCTGCCTTTCCTCCTCTTTAAAATAGGAGTTACAGGGTCCGGGTGCGGTGGCTCACACCTGTAATTCCAGCAGTTTAGGAGGCCAAGGTGGGTGGATCATGTGAGGTCAGTAGTTCAAGAGTAGCCTGGCCAACATGGTGAAATCCTGTCTCTACTAAAAATACAAAAGCTAGCTGGGCTTGCTGACGCATGCTTGTAGTCCCAGCTACTTGGGAGGCTTGAGGCAGGAGAATCACTTGAACCCGGGAGATGGAGGTTGCAGTGAGCCAAGACTGCACCACTGCACTCCAGCCTGGGTGACAGAGCAAGACTCTGTCGCAGAAAAAAAAAAAAGGAGTTACAGTGTCCATCCAAGAGGTGTGATGGAGATTAAATGAAATCATGTACAAGGAGCAGTATGACACGTTCAAGTCACACTCAATGTCCTTCTTTCTGTGGGAAATTTCATGCACATGAATGATGGTAAAAAGAAGATGATAACTATGATTATGACGCTTATTTATACCTCAGGAAAAACTGTATAAGACATGCCCTTGTCCTTGGGCAGCACAGCCGTCACCAGGGAGGACCTACATGGAATAACGGGCGGCAATCCATGCCTGCCGGGCACAGGCTATAACTGATGGGCCAGGGCAAGGAATGGCTTTTCATGGTCAGGGACTTCACAGGCGTGAGCACGCAAGCTGGGTTCAGAAGGACGTGGAGATTTGGGCAGGCTGAAGGGAAGGGACATTCACGTGAAGGCAAGGGTGTCGCAGAGGTGCAGAGTGGGAGCTGAACTTTGCTTGAAGACTGAATGGGACTTGCTTGTTAGGAGGTGTTGTATTGGTGTATGTGCTTCCAGGACAGGCCCAGTGGGAAACAGGTTGGCAAGGGAGATAGGGATCAGATTACATAGTGATCAAAATCTGGTCTGAACTAACAATCAGTCTACCAGAGCCTGGGGTAGGTGCTGAGCCCCAGGCCCCACCATACCCTGTACCCTCCATTCTCTGGTTGCAATGGCCTGCTTAGCCCTCTGTCTCTCCTGGACTGAGTGCTCTGGGAGTGAGACAGGGATGAAACCCTGTTTGCTGCTGAGCCCAAAATTAGTGCTGTGTTTGAGGGAGGCACATGTGGTGTGCCTAGAGGCTGAATGAGAGGGTCTCTTCAGGACCTCCAGACAGTGAGCCCCTACCGCAGCACCATGCCCAGTCCCTATGGGCACTTGGTAAATGGGAATGGAATGGACACATGTGCCCAGGGGTGACTGTTCTAAGGCCGACGGCAGCGTCTGTAGGGTCCACCATCTGCTCTCGAGAAGCCCCGGGGGGAGTCCCGAATCCAGGTACCTGGAGGCCTCATTGTCTGTCACTGATCTGAAGAGAGATTCCAGACATGGGAAAGCCAGGGGACTCCCTGCAGAGACCTGGAGAGGGTCTTCTCCTCCCTGCCCCACTCCAGGCCCAGACATCATCACTGTCAGGTGGTAGTTTCTTCATCTGCTTGTTCCTGCCTTGCTGACCTCCCAGCTCTGGCCCGCCTTCCTCTCCCCGTCTGCTCCCATTCCCGATGCTCCCGCTCTCTTCCCTGCTCAGCCAAGGAGCTATTTTTGTCATCTCCCCCTCCCCCATCTGCCCCTTCTGTCCCCCAGGATTGAGCGTGGCTCCTTCTCAGAAGCGGATTCCTGAAAGGCCCTGCCCTTCAGGGGACATGGATGGGGCCACCAGCTGCTGGGCAAAGAGAGGACAGCCAGGAAGCAAGTGACGAAGCCTGCAAGAAGGCCAGGGAGGAACAGGAAGGACCAGGTGCAGTGGGCAGGGTCGGAGGGAGACTGGATAAAGATGGGGGAGGACAGAGGAGAGCTGAGAAAGAGACAAAGAGACGGAGCCACAGGGCAGGGCGTAGTGCTGGGCTTGGGGCTGAGAAGTCACTGCAGGTGGAAGTAGGCAGCTCAGGCCTGGGCCCCACACATGTACCCAGATGCCCGGAGCAAAGGGAGCCTTAGACCCCTGCTTCTGAGCTTGTGTCCTTCTTTATTTTTTTCTTTTTCTTTTTTTTTTTTCTGAGACAGTCTTGCTCTGTTGCCCAGGCTGGAGTGCAGTGGCATGATCTCAGCTCACTGCAACCTCTGTCTCCCAGGTTCAAGCGATTCTCCTGCCTCAGCCTCCCGAGTGGCTGGGACTACAGGTACAAGTCACCACACCTGGCTAATTTGTGTATTTTTAGCAGACAGGGTTTCACCATTATTGGCCAGGCTGGTTTCGAATTCCTGACCTCAAGTGATTTGCCTGCCTCGGCCTACCAAAGTGTTGGGATTACAGACCCCATGCCCAGTCTGAGCTCTCTCCCAGGTGCCCCCAGGCTCACGGATCCAGCAGAGCATCCAGAGACGGCAGGGGGCATGTGGAGCCTTTCTGTCCTCCCCAGCCTGCCCTGGGAAGGGGTTGGGTCTTCCTAGCTCTGGGTCTCTGGAGGTACTGGTGTGGGGGTTCCACTTGCAAAAAGCAGGGGCTCTAGGTTGGGGGGAGCAGAAGGGATGCAGGGGTCTAGAGTAAGAGGAAACAGCGCTGAGCTTGAAAAGGGGTGAAAAGAGATTTTAAATCTGCCATGCTCCTCCTAAACTGGTGCTCCTAGGCAGTAAAAAACTCAGTGCAGTGTGTGCTTTGTGGGTTAGTCACATTGTGGCTTATCTGTGAGCTGCTGTCAGTAGAGTGAATCAGGGGAGAGAGGGTGTGAGTGTGTGTGGGAGGGTGCGAGTGGGTGTGATCATGTATGTGGAGGTGTGTGTGCCTATGGCTCCCCAGGGTAACATGGGCCTAAGGTAGGATTCAGACATGTCTGGCTGGCAGGGCCAACCTACAGAAGTTTTGCTCCAGGTCGGGCGCAGTGGCCTGTAATCTCAGCACTTTGGGAGGCGAAGGTGGGTGGATCACCTGAGGTCACTAGCCTGGCCACTAGCCTGGCCAACATGGTGAAACTACGTCTCTACTAAAAATACAAAAATAAGCTGGGCATGGTGGCACACTCCTGTAATCCCAGCTACTTGGGAGGCTGAGGCAGGAGAATTGATTGAATCCAGGAGGTGGAGGTTGCAGTGAGCCAAGATTGTGCCACTGCACTCCAGCTTGGGCAAAAACGGCGAAACTCTGTCTCAAAAAAAAAAAAAAGAAGTTTTGCTCCAAGTTCCCAGAGCCTCCAGCCTCCAGCCTCCAGGGAGCAGACTTACCCCAGGAAGGAGATGGGTAACCAAGCCTGCCATCAGCAGGGCAAAGCGACCTGCAGCCCATCGGAGGAGGGGTCTTTCCAGCCCCATGCTGGTCTGAGCCCTAGGAAGAGGACTTGACACAAAATGGGATCACCATTCCCACGAATGGGGCTCTGGCCTCTCCTACCACGCATAACGCCAAGGGGAGACTCGTCTACCCTCACAGTCTAGAGCCCCTGACACCCGAGGGCCAAGCAACCTGTGGCAGTGGCTGGTGATGCACCGTGGGGCCCACTGGGAGGGCAGAGACCCAGGCAAAGGTGTCTAGGGGTGAGGGCAAGGGAGCAGGGAGGTGGCAGGGGTCTGAGGCCCTGTGAAAGGGGGCACAAGAGACAGTGGCATTTGATTGTGACCCAATCTGCACCTATAGCGTGGAGAGAAAATTCAGGTACACAAAGCCAGAATAACTAAAGACTATCTATTGTTTTCCTTTTTTCATTATTTTAATTTTTAAAAAATTTTTTATAGAGATGGGGTTTTGCTGTGTTACCCAGGCTTGTCTTGATCTCCTGTCCTCAAGCGATCCTCCCATGTCGGCCTCCCACAGTGCTGGGATTACAGGCATGAGGCACTGAGCCTATCCCTGTCCATTGTTTTCATCAGAGAAACATTTATTGAGCACATATGTGTTTGTACCAGACACTAAGACTACTAAACCAAACACAGCCCCAGCCCCTACGGAATTCACTGTCCAGTGAGTAAGAGGAACATAAAAGTGGGTGACTGGCCAGGCGCAGTGGCTGACATCTATAATCCCAGCACTTTGGGAGGCAGAGGCGGGTGGATCACCTGAGGTCAGGAGTTCAAGACCAGGCTGGCCAACATGGTGAAACCCCATCTCTACTAAAAATACAAAAATTAGCTGGGTGTGGTGGTGGGCACCTGTAATCCCAGCTACTTTCCCGAGGCTGAGGCAGGAGAATCGCTTGAACCTGGGAGGCAGAGGCTGCAGTGAGCCAAGATCATGCCATTGCACTCTGGCCTGGGCAACAAGAGCAGAACTCCGTCTCAAAAAAAAAAAAAGTTGGTGACTATGTGTCATTTGTAAGTAATGATAATGGTAATAGCCAGCATATTTAGTGCTCACATGTGCTGGGCACTGTTCTAGGCACTTTACATATATGTGCCTGTATGCACAGGATCGAGGCATACACAAGACATGGAGTAGGGCCCCAGCGCACCTCAGTCATTGGGAAGTTCCTCCAGAGGAGAGCAGCATATTTTCCACAGGGTTCTAGAATAGGTCAAGAGGCCAGTGGAAGTTCCTGCAGCCTTCACTCCCACCTCCGTCAGCTGAGAACTGGCCAGATCAGACTTGTCTGCACCAGAGCAATCATGACCCAATCTTTCCAGCCCATCTCTGGGGCTGATGCCCTCTGGCCCTCCTGGGGAAAGCAAACATTATGAGAGGGCCTCATGCAGTGGCTCACACCTGTAATCCCAACACTTTGGGAGGCCAAGGCAGGAGAATTGCTTGAGGCCAGGAGTTTGAGACCAGCCTGAGCAACAAAGTGAGGCTCTGTTTCTACAAAAAAATTAAAAAATTAGCCAGGTGTGGTGGTGTGTGCCTGTAGTCCCAGCTACTCAGGAGGCTGAGGTGGGAGGATTTCTTGAGTCCAAGATGTTGACGCCACAGTGAGCTGTGATTGTACCACTGCACTCCAGCCTGGGTGACAGAGGGAGACCCTGTCTCACACACACAAAAGGAAGAAAGAAAGAAAGAAGAAAGAAAGAAAGAAAGAAAGAAAGGAAGGAAGGAAGGAAGGAAGGAAGGAAGGAAGGAAGGAAGGAAGGAAGGAAGGGGAGTAGAGAAAGCCATGGGGATAAGTGGGGAACAGAGGGCAGGAGGTGGTCCTGGGCTGGGCTGGGGGCTGTGGAGTTGAGTGTCCCAGGCTGGGCAACTGGAGTCTCCCTACACAGAGGGAGAAGCCAGCCAGCCATTTACTGCCCAGCTCAGAGCACTCCCTCTGGGGAACGCAGGCTGGTAACTTAGAGGTGGTAAGAGAAGGCAGAGAAATTGGAATAAGCAGGCTGCCCTAGCTTTTGTGGGCCCAGTAGAGACCAAATGATATTCTCAGATCACAGCCCATGCCCGCTTCTCTTCCCACTCTTGGCACCATTCTGAACCACGAGAGGTCACCAGTGCCTTCAATATCTGTGTGGACACCCAGCCCGCACAACCACACACCACCAAACAGCAGTCCCTGGCCACTTCTTGGGCCCAGGGAGAGGTTGTGATATTTGGGACATACTTATACTAAAAAAGTATTCCTTATGTATGTAAAACTCCAATGTAACTGGGAATCCTGTGTTTTATCTGCAGCCCCAGCCAGTGGTGCCTCCACCAGTGGCATAATCAGTCCTCGGGAGGCCCTCAAACCCTGCAAGTGGGCTCAGGGCCTGCTAGGCAGGGCCTTCCAAGATCCCAGGACTAGGGGGCGGTGAGGGAGGCAGGTTCTGGGTGGGTGTATCTTGGCCCTGCAGACTCCTCTCTTTGTGAGGAGGGGGTTGGCCAGAAAAGGGTCAGACTGTGTCCCCAAAAAGCTCAGGACCTACAGCAGGGGGCCCTTTGCCTACTTTCTGGGGTGGGCCTCAGTCCATCTTCAAGTGAGACCTAATCTCAAGCAAGGGGCATCGTTGGAAAATTGATTGGCACCCTTGATGTCTTCACCTTTTTTTTTCTTTTTCTTTTTCTTTTTCTGAGACAGGGTCTCGTTCTGTTGCCCAGGCCGGAGCGCAATGGTGCGATCACGGCTCACTGCAGCCTCGACCTCCCAGGCTCAGGCGGTCCTCCAACCTCAGCCTCCCAAGTAGCTGGGATTGTAGCCGAGCACCACCATGCTCAGCTAATTTTTGTATTTTTTGTAGAGGTGGGGTCTTGTTGTGTTGCCTAGGCTAGTCTCAAACTCCTGGCCTCAAGCCACTCTCCTGCCTTGGTCTCCCAAAGTGCTGGGGATATACCTGTGAGCCACTGTGCTTGGCATCCCTAACTTTTCTAACATCCCCACAGGCAGTGGCCTCTGATTCTGGGAGACAGTACTGCAGAGTGGCTGAGAGCTAGGGTTGCCAGATAAAAATACAAGATGCCCAGTTAGATTTGAATTTCAGATAAACAATGAATACTTTTTTTTTTTTTTTTTGAGACGGAGTTTTGCTCTTGTTGCCCAGGCTGGAGTGCAATGGTGCAATCTTGGCTCGCTGCAACCTCCACCTCCCGGTTCAAGCGATTCTTCTGCCTCAGCCTCCCATGTAGCTGGGATTACAGGTGCCTGCCACCATGCCCAGCTAATTTTTGTATTTTTAGTAGATACGGGGTTTCGCCATGTTGGCCAGGCTAGCCTCGAACTCCTGACCTCAAGTGATCCACCCGCCTCAGCGTCCCAAAGTGCTGGAATTACAGGCATGAGCCACAACACCCAGCCTTTTTTTTTTTTTTTTTTGAGACGGAGTCTGGCTGTGTCGCCCAGGCTGGAGTGCAGTGGTGCCATCTTGGCTCATTGTTGCAAGCTCCGCCTCCCAGGTTCACGCCATTCTCCTGCCTCAGCCTCCAGAGTAGCTGGGACTACAGGCGCCCGCCACCATGCCCAGCTAATTTTTTTGTATTTTTAGTAGAGACGGGGTTTCACCATGTTAGCCAGGATGGTCTCGATCTCCTGACCTTGTGATCCACCCGCCTCTGCCTCCCAAAGTGCTGGGATTACAGGCGTGAGCCACCACGCCTGGCCTTTTTTTTTTTTTTGAGATAAGAGTCTTACTCTGTCACCCAGGCTGGAGTGCAGTGGCACAATCTTGGCTCACTGCAACTGCCACCTCCCAGGTTCAAGCAATTTTCATGCCTCAGCCTCCTGAGTAGCTAGGATAACAGGCATGTACCACCATGCCCGGCTAATTTTTGTATTTTTAGTAGAAATGCGGTTTTCTCATGTTGGTCAGGCTGGTCCCGATCTCCTGACCAAGAGATCCACCTGCCTCGGCCTCCCAAAGTGCTGGGATTATAGGCATGAGCCACCACGCCCGGCCAATGAATACTTTTTTACTATCAACATGTCATTTAGTATTTGGGATCTACAGTTGACCCTCCATATCTGTGGGTTCTTCATCCATGGAGTCAACCAATTGCAGATAGAAAATATTTTTTAAAAACAATAAAAATAATACAAATAAAAAATACCTTATAACTAACAACTATTTACAAAGCATTTACATTGTGTTAGGTATTGTAGATAACCTAGAGATGAGCTAAAGTATATGGGCAGTTATACGGTTATACGGAAACACTATGTCAGTTTATATGAGGGACTTGAGCATCCTCAGATTTTAGTATCTGTGGGGTCCTGGAACCAATCTCCCAGGGATACCAAGGGATAGCTGTACTTCTAAAAATTATCTCTTGTTTATCTGAAATTCAAATTTAAGCTGGTGTACTGCTTTTGTTTTTGTTTGTTGTTGGTAAATCTGGCAACCCTGCCGAGAGCAGGGGCTTTGGAGTCTCATACCTCAGCCTCAGATCTCAGCTTTTCTATCTTCTCACTGTGTGAAACTCTCTGAGGCTCACGTTCCATATCTGCCTCCCAGGGCAGGAGAAGGATTAAGCGATAAAATGTGCTGGCGTAGGTGACAACTGTTATTACTGTCCCTGGCCAAGATACCACAGCTAGAAGGCAACGGGCCAGTGTCTGCCCTCCATGCTCTGGTCTGAGATCCCTGGGTCATCCCAAGGGCCTTCAGCAACCTGCTGTCCCTCCTCCAGATCCCAGCCCATGCAGTGCTCAAGGGGCCACTGGGAGACCAGCAGAAGACGCCCTGCACCAGAGAGGAAGCACAATCTGGCTTGGGGAACCCAAACATCTAATAACTGCAAGGAGCCCTGTGGGATGAGAAGGGAGTGGCAGAGGCACTAGCATTTATTCTGTGCTCACCATGTGCCGGGCATTTGTTACCTAATTTAATCCTCACAGCAACTTCTCATTTCCATTTTGCAGCTGAAGATGTATTAATAGCAACACAGGATAAGGCCCGGCTGTTCCTGTTTGGACCACTTTCTCCAGCCGAATCCATGGTTCCTCTCACCTCCTCCAGGCCTTTGCTCACCCCAGCCTCTTCCCTGACTGGGTGCCTCCCATCGGAACCCTCCCTGGGGAACCCGTCCCACAGTGATGGAGCGCCTTATACCCGCTTTCTGCTTTCTTTTTTTTACAAAGCACTCCTACTCATCAAACACATTAACTACTGTGCTTATTTGGTTTGCTTCTTTCCCTTCCAGAATGTAAGCTCTACGAGAGCAGGGTTTTCAGTCCTTTCGGTTTACTGACACACCCCCCATGCCCAACACAGAGCCTTGTACATATTTGTTGAATGGATTAAAAACAGAATAACCATAATCATAGCTGACACTGCCTTAGCCCCTGCTTTTTGCCCTAGAACTGTTCCAAGCACCTCATATGTGCTCATTCATGAATTCCTCCCATCTCAATGAGGCACAGAGCGGGCAAGTAATTTGCTCAAGGCCACAGAGCAAGTGTGCAAGAGTGACGAACAGGTTGGCCTGAGTTCCCTGTTGGTGATGTTTTACTCACTCCGAGGCTGTCTGTGACCCTTGGCATCAGCTCTTTTCGTGGGTGACATGGCCGCTTTGGCAGCACCCTCTCACTCCTCTAACACGCTGTATTATGAGGGCCTCTTTGCTTGTTTACTGTTGACTCAATTTCTTTGCAGGCAGGGACTGGTCTCCTTCATTTTGATTTCCCCAGTGCCTTGCATGGTGTCCCGCCCATTGCAGAGACTCCCCTCTGTTTTCCTAGTTGGCATTTACACCCACCCGGTGAGGTGGGAAACACAGGTGTCATCACTCCATTGCCCCCATTTATCAGCAGGGAAACAAGCTCAGAGAAGTGAAGTCTTTCATTCATTTGACAAGTATTTATTGCACTTCTATTACACCGAGTACTGAGCTAAGTGCTGAGAGGCTGGAAGAGGCACACAGTGGCCAAACCCTGGGTCTCCTGGTTCAGTGCTCACCTGGCCAAAGCCCACAGTCCACACTACAGAGCCCCATGGGTTCTGGCTGCTGCCCAAGGCTTTGGTGAGACCACCCCCTGTTAGAACTGGGCAAAGGCCAAATATAAGCATTGAGGGGCACTGGGGGTGGGAGGGGACTTGAGGATCTAGACAGGCTGTTTCAGCCATGGTTCGTGGGGACTGCCCAGTGGGGCTGGAGCAAGTAAGTGGGTGAGGGGGCGATTTCCAGCCTGTGATGCATGTCTGCCAAATGTGCTTCAAAGCAAACAGGATGCAAACCATATTATTTAACCTGATGTGGTTAGCACCGAGCCTTTCCCAGTGGGGGAAGCCTTTGGGGTGTCTTCTTCTTACTGGGGAATGTGTTCCTCAGGGAGGGGAAAGGGTTGTTTGCAATGTACAGAAAACCTGGAGACTCGTGGCTCAACCAAGAAAAGGCAACATGTTCCCAGGAAGAAATATATCACAGCTGGAATCAGAAGGTCTTCCTGTGTGTCCTTCTTGGCCCCTGAGGGTGTTATATGAACAGATTTATGCTGGAACCTGGGTGTGGTGGGGAGAGGTTGTATTCATTCATTTATTCATTCATTCATTTGACAAGTATTTGTTGCACTTCTGTACACCGAGTACTGAGCTAAGTGTTGAGAATATACCAGGGAACACAATATACCTGCTCCTGTCCTCATTAAACTTGCAGCTTAATGTGGGACAAGCATTAAAGGAGTGTTGCTGTTAATTAATTATTTTTAGCTGCCAGTGCTCTGAAAGAGATTCCTGGATTGCATGGAAAGGTAAAATAAGAAACCTGTTTCAGTTTGGGAGTCAAGGAAGCCTTCCTGGAGGAAGTAGTATTTATGCTGAGTCCTAGAGGCAGTCTAAGAGTTCTTCTGGCCACTTGCTGAGCGGAGTGGGTGAGGGGGCTGATCATCAAGCATTGCAGGCCCAGGGAGGGGCGCATGCGAAGACCTTGAGATAGAAAGGAGTGTGGCTTCTGTAGGTTCTGCATGAAGGGCTCCAGAGTGGCTGGCATCTGGATACTAGGCTGATTGGGAGAGGCAGTTCCTGCTCATGTCTGATGGAGAAGATGACCAAGTTTAACCACGGGAGTGGCATTCCATGAGCAGCAGGGACGTCGTGGAAGTCTGGCGTGAAGGGACGGTTGCCATGAATAGACAAGTTTGTTCTGGAAGGCTTGCTGCAGAAGGCGTGTCTGGGGGTTTTGGCAGAAGGTGTAGGAGTTGGAAGAGCTGTGTGCAAGGCTGAGGAAGTGGGAGCGAGACTACTTTGGGTTGGTGTGGGGGTGGCTGAATGACTCGATTTGGATGTGTACGTTCTGTCTCTCCAATTAATTTTAAGAACTACTATTTATTTCACAACCACTGTGTGCCAAGCAAACACTGATCTATTTCATTCAACCCATAAATAGCTGTTTGAGATAGATATGACCATCCTATCTTACAGATGAGACAAAGGAGGCTCAGAGGATTAAGTGACCTGCCCGCAGCAACACGGAGAAGATGTGGTGGAACCAGGGATCAAAAATTTGTCCTCTGTGTATATAGCGCCTCAACTTTCCATCACACTTGCCTTCCTGGTGACCTGATATCCCAGGATTTTCACTTACTGCTCTGGGGACACATTGGTTAAATCCAAGTGGTTTGCAGGCACTGACTGGCAACATAACTGTGGTCAATAGAAGAATGATGTACTGAGTGGTGGTCACTTAGAACCATGCATCTGCCACCCCTCGAGGCTGGGCCATGAAGAAGGCATGGCTCGGCTGGCACGGTGGCTCACACCTGTAATTCCAGCAATTTGGGAGGCCGAGGTAGGCTGATTGCTTGAGCTTAGGAGTTTAAGACCAGCCTGGGCATCATGGCAAAACCCCATCTCTATAAAAAATACAAACATTAGCCAGGTGGTATGCACCTGTGATCCCAGCAACAGCAGGAGGCTGAGGTGGGAGGATCGCTTGAACCGGGTGTCAGACCTCAGAGCCTAAGCTAAGCCATCATATCCCCAGTGACCTGCTTGTGTACATCCAGATGGCCTGAAGCAACTGAAGATCCACAGAAGTGAAAATAGCATTAACTGATGACATTCCACCATTGTGATTTGTTTCTGCCCCACCCTAACTGATCAATGTTCTTGATAATTTCCCCCACCCTTAAGAAGTTTCTTTATAATTCGCCCCACCCTTGAATGTACTTTGTGAGATCCACCCTCTGCCCCAAAAACATTGCTCTTAACTCCACCTCCTATCCCAAAACCTATAAGAACCAATGGTAATCCCACAACCCTTTGCTGCCTCCTTTTTTGGACTCAGCCTGCCTGCACCCAGGTGAAATAAACAGCTATGCTGCTCACACAAAGCCTGTTTGGTGATCTGTTCACACGGACACGTGAGACACCTGGGAAGTTGAGACTGCGGTGAGCTGAGATCCTGCCACTGCACTCTAGCTTGGGTGACACAGCAAGACCCCAGCTCAAAAAAAAAAGAAAAAAAGAAGGCATGGCTAGTGTGGAAGTGGCTGCAAGCTCAGTTGTCCGTGGGTACTGGATTCAGTGGCGGATCTGGGCACTGCTCCCCACTCCCTGTGGACTCCATAGCTCAGTCATGGACAAGGTTTCTGACCTCGCCGCAGGGCTCAAGGCCTGGCATTCTCACTTCTTCCACCCTCTGGAGGCCCTGGCCTGCCCTGGGTACCCTCCCCAAGTAGCTTCCTTCCCTTGGCTCTTGTGCCTTTGAAACCTGCTGAAGCATTTCCTGTCCAAGGCAGAGTGAGGCTCATGGGTCGCTGGGTTTCCTTTCTATTCCAGGAGTTGTAGCCAGACCTGCTTGAGTCTGGGCCAAGCTCAAGAAGGCAGTGGGTGTGGGGGCCTTCCTTCCAGTTCAGCGAAGGGGCTGGGGAGGAGGCAGGACCAGGCTGAGCTGGTGCTGCTGGGATCAGTCATGGACCACGTGCAGGGGGCAGAGGCACCCAGCCTGGCACTTTGAGGACATGGGAGATAAAGCTCCATTTCTGTCCCCCTAAGGCAGCCTGAGGTTGAGCAGGGCCCAAGGCAGTTCACTAAAAGAACCAGCGTCAGTGAAACTACTCTAGGTAGCTTCAGGCCATTGCTTTACATGCAACTCTCCCAATGCTAAATTCTAAACTGGCTGCTCATTTCAGCTCAGGGCTGATAGCCATGCAGCTCTTTATTATGAATCTTAACCTCTGGGCTCTAGGGGTTCCTGCCCTAATAGTAAAAACAGTATCAGTAATAGCATTCAAAATTGGGGTTCAGCAGGCGACCTGCTAGGACTCTACTAGGAGGTAGAGATCACCCTTGCCACGTCCTGCTAGGAGAGTATCTGGACCTTCCAGCAACACGCCAAGGGTTCTAAGGCTTGAAATGCATTCCCACACTGAAAATACAAATCACAATGTTTCTCAAACTGTTGAAGGTCAGACACTGAGAGGGGCAGGGTGAGGACCAGGAAAGATTGGGTGAGGGGCTGGGGAGGAAGGGAGAGAAGAGGTTCCAGCGGAGGGGAGGATAATAAAGCCTCCCCCTTCATGCTGTGTGGGGCATGGACCTAAAGGATCAGGGGACCCTGTGGAGTGGGGGATGGACAAAGGATGCCAAGGTGGAAGATGTGCTGACTGGCATGCTATTTTTGCAGGACATTTGCATGCTTTTCATGTACTGTCTAGAGAACAGTGCAGGGAATTCCCCCAGGCCCTGCTCTCTCCCCATCCTCCTTCTCTGATGTGCCAGGGCAGGGCGAGCTTAGGTTGGGAAGAAGTGGACGGGGTTCCCACTCCACCATGGCCCTGTCTGGGTGGGGGCTGCAGGGGTGGAGGCTGCATTCCCTGAATCTGAGGAAAGGATGCTCCCTTTCACCCCCAGTAGGGAAGCCAGGGGTAGAGGAAGGTGTGTGAGAGGAGGGAACCCTCCTACTAGGAGGATGGGGTGGAGGGGGCAAGGTGTCTGGGGGTGAGGAGCTTTCTGGCTCCAGGCTTCTCTCTGATGCAGGGCCTGGAAGGAAGGAAGCCAGATGAGGTGCCTCCTCCTGAATCCTTGTGAAGTTTTGTTTCCTGTTGCAAAGCAGGTTTTTGACATCAAATGCCTTTCTTTTCCAATGGCCCTGCATTCCCACCCTGCCCACCCTTCCTCAGCCCCAGCCCTGGCCCATCTCATAGGTACCTTGGGGGTTCTGGGCAGAAGCGGGGAGTCCATCAGGGCCAAGGCCTGTGTCCCTCTGTCTTGCATCATGGTGGCTGGCTGGGCTCACGATCAGGCAAAGCAGGGGTCCTGGGACCCCTTTGTCTCAAGGCTCTTGGATGGGCCCTCGGGCATGCCTGGGGTGCCCATGCCAGGTCTCAGCTGGTTTCTGGCTGGTCAAGAGTGACTAATCCCAGGGTGTTCTGGGCATGGACCCTGGGTCATCTGTGAAAAATTTGTCCCCACCCTGGTCTGTGGAGGTCCCACTTCTTTGTGCCTTTTTTTCTGACTCTTATTTTTCTTTGCTCACTCTCTTGCCATATATGTACTTTTTTTTTTTTTTTTCTGAGACAAGATCTTGCTCTGTCACCCAGGTTGGAGTGCAGTGGCACAATCATGGCTCACTGCAGCCTCGAACTCCTGGCCTCAAGTGATCCTCCTATTACCAGAAAGGAGACCTGATTCAGACCTCAAGAGAGGGTTCTTGGATCTCAGGCAAGAAAATTCAGGGTGAGAGTAAAGTGAAAGTGAGTTAATTAAGAAAGCAAAGGGGCCAGGCATGGGGGCTCACGACTGTAATCCGAGCACTTTGGGAGACCAAGGCAGATGGATTACTTGAGGTCAGGAGTTCAAGATCAGCCTAGCCAACATGGTGAAACCCCATCTCCACTAAAAATACAAAAATTAGCCATGCATGGTGGTGCACACCTGTAATCTCAGCTACTCGGGAGGCTGAGGCAGGAGAATCGCTTGAACTCAGGAGGTGGAGGTTGCAGTGAGCTGAGATTGTACCACTGCACTCCAGCCTGGGTGACAGAGTGAGACTCTGCCTCAAAAAAAAAAAAAAAAAAGCAAAGGAATAAAGAATGGCTACTCCACAGACAGAGCAGTGGCATGGGCCGCTCTACTGAGTAGAGTTACAGTTACTTGTTGATTATATGCTAAACAAGGGGTGGATTATTCATGAGTTTTCTGGGATAGGGGTGGGCAGTTCCTAGAACTGAGGGTTCCTCCATTTTTTAGACCATATAGGATAACTTCCAGATGTTGCCATGGCGTTTGTAAATTGTCATGGCGCTGGGGGAGTGTCTTTCAGCACGCTAATGCATCGTAATTAGCATGTTAGGAGCAGTGAGAATGACCAAAGGTCACTTTCACTGCCATCTTGGTTTTCATGGGTTTTGGCCAGCTTTGTTACCGCATCCTGTTTTATCAGTGGGGTCTTTGTGACCTGTATCTTGTATTGTCCTCCTATCTCATCCTGTGACTAAGAATGCCTAACCTCCTGGGAATGCAGCCCAGCAGGCCTCAGCCTTATTTTACCCAGCTACTATTCAAGATGGAGTTGCTCTAGTTCAAATGCCTCTGACGCTCCCACCTCAGCCTTCCCAAGCACTGGGATTACAGATGTGTGCCTTCACATCCAGGTTTTTTTGTTTGTTTGTTTGTGTTTTTAATTTTTGGTAGAGACGGAGATCTGTATGTTGCCCAGACTAGTCTTCAACTCCTGGGCTCAAGCAATCCTTCCACCGCAGCCTCCCAAAGCACTGGGATTACGAGTGTGAGCTGTCAGGCCTGGGCTTTTTATTTTTATTTTTTATGGATACATAATTATTACCCCTTAGCCCTTTCCAGGGCACTTCCCCTGACATCCCCAGCCTCCCCCATTGCAGCTGCTGCCAAGGCTCATTCTGTTCTGGGAGGGGCTCGGGTCTTCCGCTTTATCCTCCTGGCAATGGGCTTCTCCACCTGAGGAGCAGAGCGGGGTGGTTGGGCGGTGGGGAGGGAGCTCGGGGAGCTGGGGATTACCTCCTGCTTGGAGCAGAAACAAAACCAGACACAAGTGTGGAGCAGGGGGGACGTCTCAGCACACTGGCGAGGCCTCCTCTGGCCTCAGAAAGCAGGACTAGCCAGGGCAAGCCGCTGGGAGAGCAGCCCATGGTCTGTTGACCCAATTCCCAGGGAATGGCTGAAGTTCATCTTCCCTGAGGAAAGGCTGGCCCAGATGAGGCAGGAGGCCATTTCCAGAGCCAGAAGACGAACCAGCCAGCTGCCTGCCACCGGCACAGGCACAGGCTCAGCATACCAAGGGGCCTTTGCACACGCACTGTCCGGAACACTGACAAGCCCAGTGCACAGCATGGGAGTGGGAGCGTGTGTAGGCACCCTCTCAGGCTGAGGCCACGTGGGCGCCATGCAAGTCCACAGATTCGGGTCCACCAACAGGCCCCAGTGGATTTATTCTGCAGTGCTGCCTTCCTTTGGGCAAAGCTCCATCTTGTCCTAATTTGTAAACTTACCCACCTTGGAGCTCATGGGCCTTGTAGTTCATGTGGCCCACTCTGGGCATTTTACACTCAACAAAACAGACCAAGTGGGGTCAAGTGACTTATCTAAGGTCAAACAGCTGATACGTAATTGTTTTTTGAGTTATAGAGATGGCACAAATTTGGGTGACTTGAAATCCAGAGCTAGGAGAAAGAGGAGACAGAGTTTAGAGTCCTAACGGCCTGAGTCACCTCCGTGCTTAGTCTCTTTCTGAATGTGAGTCTTTTGACAAGCTACCAAACCTCTCTGAGCTCCAGCTCCCTTATCTTGGAAGCAGGAGTGATCAAATCTACTCTGCAAGGTTGTTGCAGGGTTTAGTAATCACATACATTAGAAGCCTGGCATATAGTAGGTACTCAATAAATGTTTCTACAACTACGGGGTTTGATAAGGTGGTAAAACAATCAACCACAATGCTATTTAAATGGCACCTATCATGGGCCAGGCTCTAGGCTTGGAGCTGGGGACACTAAGACAAATTGGGTGTCTGGACAAATTGGGTGGGTGGAATGTAGGATAAAGACAAGAAAATACTGCTGAGCTGTGTGCCTGGTGCTATAGGGAATACAGGAGAGGCACCAAACCCAGATGCTGTAGAGGGTTGGGGGGTCAGCGGAGGGGGCAGCGGAAAACTCAAGAAGACTTCCTAGAATTTGAAGAATGAATAAAATTTACCCAGGCAAATAGGAAGGGAAAGGAGATTGGAGCTGAGGGAACTGCAAGGACAAAGACCCAGAGCCAGAGAAAGTCCTAGGCAGTGGATATGGAGAGGGGACTGGAGGGTGAAGAGGAGTGTGAGTGGTGTGAGAAGAACTCCATCTTTACCTGAAGGGCTAGGAGCCTTTGACTACAGCCAGGCCAACACCTAAATTCTCAGCAGATAAGCCAATTCAGAAAATAATGAACTTTGGTGTTTTTTTATTTGTTTGAGACAGGGTCTCGCTCTGTCACCCAGGCTGGAGTGCAATGGCGTGACCTCGGCTCACTGCAACCTCTGCCCCCCTAGTTCAAGCGATTCTCCCACATCAGTCTCCCAGGTAGTTGGGACTACAGGCGCCCGCCACCACGCCTGGCTAATTTTTGTGTTTTTAGTAGCGATGGGGGACGGCGGGGGGCGGGGGAGAATAGGTGGATTGGGGAGCGGGGGCCAGGGGTGGCGGATCTCACCATGTTGGCCAGGCTGGTCTCGAACTCCTAACCTCAAGTGATCCGCCCACCTCTCCCTCCCAGAGTGTTGGGATTACAGGAGTGAGCCATCCATCCCACCCAGCCTGAAAATAAACTTTTCTTCAATTTACTCTTTTTTTCTCAAAAGTAATTGCGTCATTGTTTGCTACAAACAAACAAACAAACCTTGGCTTTATTAAAGGTCACTGGTAGATGAAAGTGGTGGCTTAGAATTAGGCTCCTTGGTATAAAAGGAAGGAATTCAAACACACCTGAGCAACGGAAGTAGCTATCCATTTGCTAATGGTTTAACAAACCACTTAACAAACTACTTCTTTGGGCCTATAGCCTGGAGGGGACTCCAAATCTTCTAGCTAGAGATTCTCCTCATTATGTTAATGTATTGAACACATTGCCTTTGATAGTTCTCAAGGTTGTGATTGGTGGTGGTGAGTGGGGAGGGGGATTTGCAAAGTGTTTCAGTTATTGAAATTCATTCAACAAATATTTACTAGGCACCATCCTAGGTGTTTTGCGATAAGGGCTAAACAAGACAGGATTCCTGTACTCCTGGGGTCCTTCTTCTAATAAACTTGGAAGTTTGTAGCTAACACCAACTCCTCAGGAAACAAGCAGCCATCCGTCCCATCAAAGGTGGCAACAGCAGTGTGGTTAAGAGCCAGGTATTTTCAAGTCAGATTAAACCTGGTTTTGAATCCCAGCTGTCTGAACTCAGGCAAGTGACTTAATCTCTTTCAGGCTCTCAAGAGTGAAGTGAGAGAAACAGAACCTACTTCACAGGGTGTTTGGAAGATTAAATGAGATGAAGGATGTGAAGTGCTTTCTACTAAGACCGATACATCATAAGCCCTCGGTAAATGATAGCCACTGGCATTAATGATTTTTTTGTTTTGTTTTGTTTTTTGAGATGGAGTCTTGCTCTGTCGCCCAGGCTGGAGTGCAGTGGTGCGATCTCGGCTCACTGCGAGCTCCGCCTCCCGGGTTCACACCATTCTCCTGCCTCAGCCTCCGGAGTAGCTGGGACTACAGGCGCCCGCCACCACGCCCAGCTAATTTTTTTGTATTTTTAGTAGAGACGGGGTTTCACCACATTAGCCAGGATGGTTTCGATCTCCTGACCTCGTGATCCGCCCGCCTCGGCCTCCCAAAGTGTTGGGATTACAGGCTTGAGCCACCATGCCCGGCCAATGATCTTTGAGACAACTCAAAAGCCAAGTGTGCAGAAAAGAGGTTTTAATATGGTGAAGAGGGTGGTAATGATGGTCCAGTTCACACTTCAAAATCATTGGCACAAAGGTTTCTCAAGGGCTGGGATTGGGTTTTGTTCATTTTGCATCTCCAGTGTCTAGCATGTAATAGGTCATTAATAATGAGCCCTGGATGAATGGTTCTTAGCTCTTGGCCAGGACCCAGGAGAGGGACTAGGTGTCAAACAGTTCCAGGAAGATATTATTTCATGGGCTACTTACTCTAGCCAAGAAAGGTCAGTGGGACCTGGGACATCATCAAGAACTGGGTCATTTGTGAAATAAGCAAACACTGCATGGACACCTGATAACACATTTTTGGAAAGAGTGCAGAGAGCAGAAAGTTCAGGAGAGAGCAGGCTAGCAGCAGAGAAGGGGAGGAGTCATTTTGCAAAGGGAAAACCTTGGGGGAAGTGTCCTGGAAAGTCCGTGGCAAGAAACACCTTTGTTTCACAGTCTATGCCTTTGACCCTCAACCTGCCTCCCCATGAGCTACAGCGGCACATGCAGTTCTCTCTCCTTTTCTTAAAACAAGGATGAGGGGCCTAGGGTTTCCCATGCAAGAATAGGGCTCTGGGGTCTCAGGCTAGTCCACGACCTGACTAGGAGAGAGACAGCCAGGATCAGAACAAGAACATCCCGAAGACCAGTCTAACAGAGCCAGAAACACTCCTAAAATTGGAGGACCTCTTTCCCTGGTTTTGGGAGGAATTTAGAGAAGTTTGGGCAATATTCCATCCTCATGTGCTCACAGATTCAGAGAATGTTAGAGCTGGACAGAATTGTGGTCCAACCCCTCATTGGACACTTGAGGACGCTGAGTCCCAGAGTGGGTTAGTGATTTCACCAATGAAACACAGTGAGCTGGGATCAGAATCCACACCAGCTGGTTGATTCGCGGGTCAGTGCACACTCATACAAGTGATCTCTGAGCTCTTCACTGAGACATCCAACTGCCTAAGTGACATCTCTGTTTGGAGGTCTCAAAGATTCCCACAATTCGACATGCCTAAGGTGGAACACTTAACCTTCTCCTTAGCCTGGCTGGTTCTCTTACAGTGTTTTCTAGTTCCATGACTGGTGGTGCCACCTACCCAGTTGAGCAAGACAGGAATAAAGCAGGAGTCTCCCGACACACTCTCTCTCACTCTGCATAGCCAATCGATTACCAAGTTCTGATTTATCTTCTAAATGCATCTCCAGGCCCTCCTCTTTTCTCCATTTCCTGTACCATCACCCTATGGCAAGCTACCCTGCCCTCTGATCCCTTGACTACTGCAATAGCTGTCTGCCGACTACACTCCAGTCTGTTTAGGATCTGTCCAGCCCATTTCTCACGACGCAGCCTCAGAATCTTTACAGAACACAAAACTAGTCATGTCATACACGCATCTGCTTGGGGAAACTTCAGTGGCTCCCCTTTTTTCCCCCAACCGCTTTTATTTATTTATTTATTTTTTTGAGACAGAGTCTCGCTCTGTCACCCAGGCTGGAATGCAGTGGTACAGTGACACAATCTCAGCTTACTACAACCTCCGCCTCCCAGGTTCAAGCGATTCTCCTGCCTCAGCCTCCCGAGTAGCTGAGATTACAGGCGCATGCCACCACAACCGGCCCATTTTTTGTATTTTTAGTAGAGATGGGGTTTCACCATGTTGGCCAGGCTGGTCTCTAACTCCTGACCTCAAGTGATCCACCCACCTCAGCCTCCCAAAGTGCTGGGATTACAGGTGTGAGCCACCACACCCAGCCAATTCCCCTTGTTCTTAGGACCATGACAAAACTTAGCAATGTGACTTCAAAGGCCCTGCATCACCTGGCTCCTTTCTCTCTCTGCCACCCACTCTCACGGTGGGGGACACTGGCTCCCCCTCTCTCCACTCCAGCCATACTCTCTCCAACTACAGTGCCTTTCCCTGAAATGCTCACATCGCTCTCTTGGCCTGGTTAGCACCTTTCATCCTTTAGATTCCAGCCCACACCTCACTTCCTCAGGAAAGCCCTCCTGAGTGGACCAAACCTGCCTATGCTATGCCCTTTCAGCATCTGTGCCAGCCAGTGGTTTACACGTGTTTGGCAAGTGTTTGATGAATGACTTTGCCTCACTATGCTGTAAGCTCCAAGGAGCAGAGACAATGTCTGGTTTTGTTCATCATACCCTAAGCGCATAGTTCAGTGCCCTGCATGTTGAGAGGCACTTAAATATTTACTTATTGAACAAGTGAGTGAATGAATGCTCTGTTTTTTAAGACTTTCTCTAACAGCGACACTATGGAGAATAATTGGCACTTTTCATCCACAGATGGCCTCCTGTGCCTCTTTTAGGAAACAAGATGACAGGCTGGGTGGCGAGATGCATGTGAACACGGTAGGGCCATGAGACTTGCCTCCTAAAAGTTTCCTCTATGTTTTTGCAAAGAAGATCCCCATGTGTTGGTAAGTGGGGAGAAAAACAAATTGAAGTAATCTCTACCAGATGACCCTCTGTAGTTTGTTAAAGGTGTATGCACACATGAACCCACTGAAAAAGAGTAACAGTGGAGGGTGGCATACAGGTTACCTTCCTTCCTTTTTTCTTTCTTTCTTTTCTTTTTTAAATAAGTTTTCCATTCTGGATATGTATTTTTTGACAAAGAAATAAAAAGTATAAGAATTTTTCTCAATGTGTATATGTATATATACACATATGTATGTGTATATATATATATATATATCACAATCTCTCTCTCTCTCACACACACACACAGTTAAAAAAATGGAAGATCATGTGTTCAGACACCCGAGGATGAAAACCATATTTCCCCTCAGCCTGGGACCTTTCTGAAAGTAGAAATCATTTCACTTCCTCTCTTTATTTCTCTGAGCACCCTCCTCTCCTCATTTTGGTCACCATTATTAGTTTCAAGTGACAGAAAACCCAATTCAAAGTAACTTAGGAAATGTAGGCAGTCATAGCTTGGCCATTCCAGCCACGGTGGCTCCAGGAGCCTAAGCGATGTCCTCAGGAATTGGTCTTTCTCTGTTCCTTGGCGTGGCTCTCCCCTGGTGATGCAAGATGCCCATCAGCAGTCCCAGGCTCATGTAATCCACCAGTAGAGAGAGTTTCTCCTCCCACTAGTTCCAGCTACAGCCCTGGTGCTGATGATCTCTGTGACCAGTGTCAGAGGCTGGGGTAAAATATCTTGTGGCCAGGCCTGGCCCAGGGGCTTCCTTCTGGCAATGGGCCCTGTGGGAATCTTACTGACTACAAGTGGAAGGTTAAGAATTGGAAAGCTTTTGCCAGAATAAGGGGAAGGGATAATAGGCAGGCAAAACAAAAGGTGAGTATCATACACTGAGCACTTGGCTCTGCACACAGTAGGTGCTCACCCTAACAGGGCTGACTGGCTGGCCTCTGGCTGGAACCATCTGGGGAGAGAGGAAGTGGTGGTTTCACATCAGCTGCAGAGCCTCCACCAGGTTCAATTTTACATCTAGAGAGAGGGATTTGGAGTCCACGCAGGTCCCAGAAGGTGACAAGGTGGTAGAGAGTGATACGTGCCTCGTTGCATGGAAAACTGCCCTTGGGCTCCAAACATGGTATGCCCAGAGGCTGAGCTTGGAAATGGGTGAACCTTGGCCCAGCCTGGCTAAGAGAGCCACTCGGGGGCACATGCGTACCCTTGCCCTGCTCTCTGCGGGCTGGCCTATGGCCAGCAGGTGCCCAGTGAGAAGATTGTACTCCAAGGGATCCAGCCTTTTACACAAGTTATAAGATGAGGAAGAAACATGGCTTGTGTCTTTGGGAAGTTCTCAGCCCAGTGGGAGAACTGTAACATGACAAGACTAACCCTGTATTTGGGGGCTTCCGCCTGATGTGTCAGCCCCAGAGGGACGGCATGGTAACCCACTCTGTACCAGATTTTAAGCTTTATTCCCAAACCTGCTTTGCTTCCCTTACCAGCTCTTTTACCTTTGTCTTCCATGTTCCCAGTTCATGT